>NC_000001.11:59250804-59402319 GCF_000001405.40 Homo sapiens
ATAGTAATTACTGGACTCTAGCCAAGATGGCCAAATAGGAACAGCTCCAGTCTACAGCTCCCAGCGTGAGTGACGCAGAAGACGAATGATTTCTGCATTTCCAACTGAGGTACCGGGTTCATCTCACTGGGGACTGTCAGACAGTGGGTGCAAGACAGTGTGTGCAGCGCACTGAGCATGAGCTGAAGCAGGGCAAGGCATCGCCTCACCTGGAAAGTGCAAGGGGTCAGGGAATTCCCTTTCCTAGCCAAGGAAAGGGGTGACAGACAGCACCTGGGAAATCGGGTCACTCCCACCCTAATACTGCACTTTCCGACAGTCTTAGCAAACGGCAAACCAGGAGATTATATCCCGCGCCTGGCTTGGAGGGTCCTATGCCGACGGAGCCTCACTCGTTTCTAGCACAGCAGTCTGAGATCAATTTGCAAGGCAGCAGTGAGGCTGGGGGAGGGGCGCCACTATTGCCGAGGCTTGAGTAGGTAAACAAAGTGGCTGGGAAGCTCGAACTGGGTGGAGCCCACCGCAGCTCAAGGAGGCCTGCCTGCCTCTTTAGACTCCACCTCTGGGGGCAGGGCATAGCCAAACAAAAGGCAGCAGAAACCTCTGCAGACTTAAATGTCCCTGTCTGACAGCTTTGAAGAGAGTAGTGGTTCTCCCAGCATGCAGCTTGAGATCTGAGAACAGACAGACTGCCTCCTCAAGTGGGTTGCTGACCCCTGAGTAGCCTAACTGGGAGGCACCCCCGAGCAGGGGCAGTCTGGCACCTCACACAGCTGGGTACTCCTCTGACACAAACTTCCAGAGGAATCATCAAGCAGCAACATTTGCTGTTCACCAATATTCGCTGTTCTGCTGCCTCCGCTGCTGATACCCAGGCAAGCAGGGTCTGGAGTGGACCTCTGGCAAACTCCAACAGACCTGCAGCTGAGGGTCCTGACTGTTAGAAGGAAAACTAACAAACAGAAAGGACATCCACACCAAAACCCCATCTGTACGTCACCATCATCAAAGACCAAAGGTAGATAAAACCACAAAAATGGGGGAAAAACAGAGCAGAAAAACTGAAAATTCTAAAAATCAGAGCGTCTCTCCTCCTCCAAAGAAACACAGCTCCTCACCAGTGACGGAACAAAGCTGGATGGAGAATGACTTTGACGAGTTGAGAGAAGAAGGCTTCAGACAATCAAACTTCTCCGAGCTAAAGGAGGAAGTTTGAACGCATAGCAAAGAAGTTAAAAACCTTGAAAAAAGATTAGATGAATGGCTAACTAGAATAACCACTGCAGAGAAGTCCTTAAAGGACCTGATGGAGCTGAAAACCACGGCACAAGAACTACATGACAAATGCACAAGCCTCAGTAGCCAATTTGATCAACTGGAAGAAAGGGTATCAGTGATGGAAGATCAAATGAATGAAATGAAGCGAGAAGAGAAGTTTAGAGAAAAAAGAATAAAAAGAAACGAACAAAGCCTCCAAGAAATATGGAACTATGTGAAAAGACCAAATCTACCTCTGATTGGTTTACCTGAAAGTGACGGGGAGAATGGAACCAAGTGGGAAAACACTCTGCAGGATATTATCCAGGAGAACTTACCCAATCTAGCAAGGCAGGCCAACATTCAAATTCAGGAAATACAGAGGACGCCACAAAGATACTCCTCAAGAAGAGCAACTCCAAGACACATAATTGTCAGATTCACCAAAGTTGAAATGAAGGAAAAAATGTTAAGGGGAACCAGAGAGAAAAGTTGGGTTACCCACAAAGGGAAGCCCATCAGACTAACAGCTGATCTCTCGGCAGAAATTCACCAAGCCAGAAGACAGTGGGGGCCAATATTCAACATTCTTAAAGAAAAGAATTTTCAATCCAGAATTTCATATCCAGCCAAACTAAGCTTCATAAGTGAATGAGAAATAAAATACTTTACAAACAAGCAAATGCTGAGAGATTTTGTCACCACCAGGCCTGCCCTACAAGAGCTCCTGAAGGAAGCACTAAACATGGAAAGGAACAACTGGTACCAGCCACTGCAAAATCATGCCAAATTGTAAAGATCATCGAGACTAGGAAGAAACTGCATCAACTAACGAGCAAAATAACCAGCTAACATCATAATGACAGGATCAAATTCATACATAAAAATATTAACCTAAAATGTAAATGGGCTAAATGTGCCAATTAAAAGACACAGACTGGCAAATTGGATAAAGAGTCAAGACCCATCAGTGTGCTATATTCAGGAAACCCATCTCACATGCAGAGACACACATAGGCTCAAAATAAAGGGATGGAGGAAGATCTACCAAGCAAATGGAAAACAAAAAAAGGCAGGGGTTGCAATCCTAGTCTCTGATAAAACAGACTTTAAACCAACAAAGATCAAAAGAGACAAAGAAGGCCATTACATAATGGTAAAGGGATCAATTCAACAAGAAGAGCTAACTATCCTAAATATATATGCACCCAATACAGGAACACCCAGATTCATAAAGCAAGTCCTTAGAGACCTACAAAGAGATTTAGACTCCCACACAATATTAAAGGGAGACTTTAACACCCCACTGTCAACATTAGACAGATCAATGAGACAGAAAGTTAACAAGGATATCCAGGAATTGAACTCAGCTCTGCACCAAGCAGACCTAATAGACATCTACAGAACTCTCCACCCCAAATCAACAGAATATACATTCTTCTCAGCAACACACTACACCTGTTCCAAAATTGACCACATAGTTGGAAGTAAAGCACTCCTCAGCAAATGTGAAAGAATAGAAATTATAACAAACTGTCTCTCAGACCACAGTGCAATCAAAGTAGAACTCAGGATTAAGAAACTCACTCAAAACCACTCAACTACATGGAAACTGAACAACCTGTTCCTGAATGACTACTGGGTACATAACGAAATGAAGGCAGAAATAAAGATCTTCTTTGAAACCAATGAGAACACAGACACAACATACCAGAATCTCTGGGACACATTTAAAACAGTGTGTAGAGGGAAATTTATAGCACTAAATGCCCACAAGAGAAAGCAGGAAAGATCTAAAATTGACACCCTAACATCACAATTAAAAGAACTAGAGAAGCAAGAGCAAACACATTCAACAGCTAGCAGAAGGCAAGAAATAACTAAGATCAGAGCAGAACTGAAGGAAATAGAGACACAAAAAACCCTTCAAAAAATCAGTGAATCCAGGAGCTGGTTTTTTGAAAAGATCAACAAAATTGATAGACTGCTAGCAAGACTAATAAAGAAGAAATGAGAGAAGAATCAAATAGACGCAATAAAAAATGATAAAGGGGATATCACCACCAATCCCACAGAAATACAAACTACCATCAGAGAATACTATAAACACCTCTATGCAAATATACTAGAAAATCTAGAAGAAATGGATAAATTCCTGGACACATACACCTTCCCAAGACTAAACCAGGAAGAAGTTGAATCTCTGAATAGACCAATAACAGGCTCTGAAATTGAGGCAATAATTAATAGCTTACCAACCATAAAAAGTCCAGGACCAGACGGATTCACAGCCAAATTCTACCAGAGGTACAAAGAGGAGCTGGTGCCATTCCTTCTGAAACTATTCCAATCAATAGAAAAGACGGAATCCTCCCTAACGCATTTTATGAGGCCAGCATCATCCTGATACCAAACCCTGGCAGAGACACAACAAAAAAAGAGAATTTTAGACCAATATCCCTGATGAACATCGATGCAAAAATCCTCAATAAAATACTGGCAAACCAAATCCAGCAGCACATCAAAAAGCTTATCCACCATGATCAAGTGGCCTTCATCCCTGGGATGCAAGGCTGGTTCAACATACAAAAATCGATAAACATAATCTACCATATAAACAGAACCAATGACAAAAACCACATGATTATCTCAATAGATGCAGAAAAGGCCTTTGACAAAATTCAACAATGCTTCATGCTAAAAACTCTCAATAAATTAGGTATTGATGGGACATATCTCAAAATAATAAGAGCTATCTATGACAAACCCACAGCCAATATCATACTGAATGGGCAAAAACTGGAAGCATTCCCTTTGAAAACTGGCGCAAGACAGGGATGCCCTCTCTCACCATTCCTATTCAACATAGGGTTGGAAGTTCTGGCCAGGGCAATCAGGCAGGAGAAGGAAATAAAGGGTATTCAATTAGGAAAAGAGGAAGTCAAATTGTCCCTGTTTGCAGATGACATGATTGTATATCTAGAAAACCCCATTGTCTCAGCCCAAAATCTCCTTAAGCTGATAGGCAACTTCAGCAAAGTCTCAGGATACAAAATCAATGTGCAAAAATCACAAGCATTCTTATACACCAATAACAGACAAACAGAGAGCCAAATCATGAGTGAACTCCCATTCACAATTGCTTCAAAGAGAATAAAATACCTAGGAATACAACTTACAAGGGATGTGAAGGACCTCCTCAAGGAGAACTACAAACCACTGCTCAATGAAATAAAAGAGGATATAAACAATTGGAAGAACATTCCATGCTCATGGGTAGGAAGAATCAATATCGTGAACATGGCCATACTGCCCAAGGTAATTTATAGATTCAATGCCATCTCCATCAAGCTAGCTACCAATGACTTTCCTCACAGAATTGGAAAAAACTACTTTAAAGTTCATATGGAAGCAAAAAAGAGCCTGCATTGCCAAGTCAATCCTAAGCCAAAAGAACAAAGCTGGAGGCATCACGCTACCTGACTTCAAACTATACTACAAGTAACCAAAACAGCATGGTACTGGTACCAAAACAGACATATAGACCAATGGAACAGAACAGAGCCCTCAGAAATAATGCCACATATCTACAACTATCTGATCTTTGACAAACCTGAGAAAAACAAGAAATGGGGAAAGGATTTCCTATTTAATAAATGGTGCTGGGAAAACTGGCTAGCCATATGGAGAAAGCTGAAACTGGATCCCTTCCTTACACCTTATACAAAAATTAATTCAAGATGGATTAAAGACTTAAATGTTAGACCTAAAACCATAAAAACCCTAGAAGAAAACCTAGGCAATAACATTCAGGACATAGACATGGGCAAGGACTTCATGTCTAAAACACCAAAAGCAATGGCAACAAAAGCCAAAATTGACAAATCGGATCTAATTAAACTAAAGAGCTTCTGGACAGCAAAAGAAAATACCATCAGAGTGAACAGGCAACTTACAGAATGGGAGAAAATTTTTGCAACCTACTCATCTGACAAAGGGCTGATATCCAGAATCTACAAAGAACTCAAACAAATCTACAAGAAAAAAACAAACAACCCCATCAACAAGTGGGAGAAGGATATGAACAGACATTTCTCAAAAGAAGACATTTATGCAGCCAAAAGACACATGAAAAAATGCTCATCATCACTGGCCATCAGAGAAATGCAAATCAAAACCACAATGAGATACCATCTCACACCAGTTAGAATGGCAGTCATTAAAAAGTCAGGAAACAACAGGTGCTGGAGAGGATGTGGAGAAATAGGAACACTTTTACACTGTTGGTGGGACTGTAAACTAGTTCAACCATTGTGGAAGTCAGTGTGGCGATTCCTCAGGGATCTAGAACTGGAAATACCATTTGACCCAGCCATCCCATTACTGGGTATGTACCCAAAGGATTATAAATCATGCTGCTATAAAGACACATGCACACGTATGTTTATTGTGGTACTATTCAAAATAGCAAAGACTTGGAACCAACCCAAATGTCCAACAATGATAGACTGGATTAAGAAAATGTGGCACATATACACCATGGAATACTATGCAGCCATAAAAAAGGATGAGTTCATGTCCTTTGTAGGGACATGGATGAAGCTGGAAACCATCATTCTCAGCAAACTATTGCAAGGACAAAAAACCAAACACCACATGTTCTCACTCATAGGTGGGAATTAAACAATGAGAACACATGGACACAGGAAGGGGAACATCACACACTGGGGCCTGTTGTGGGGTGGGGGAAGTGGGGAGGCATAGCATTAGGAGATATACCTAATGTTAAATGACGAGTTAATGGGTGCAGCACACCAACGTGGTACATGTATACATATGTAACAAACCTGCAGGTTGTGCACATGTACCCTAAAACTTAAAGTATAATAATAAAAAAAAAAAGAAAACAGTAATTACTAGGTCAAAGTCGAGTTAAGAAAAATAGAATCACTCCAAATAATTCAATAGAGGAAATGTAATTTAAGGAACTAATTCCACATGCTTTCAGAGAGCTAAAGGTGCAAACATGGAATAGAGAGGCAACCCAGAGACCCATTGTCACCCTTAAGGGTGGCAGGATGGATGAAAGAAGTGCTACGATCACTAAGAAGCTACCAAAGCCACATACAGGGAGATGAAAACATTGAGAAGACACAGCCTGGACATGCTGCCTAACTAAGCAAATCCCATTCCCAATCTCTTTCCTAGTGCCTTCTGTTGGCCAGTCCTCATGGAGTGACAGAAAGGAAGAATGCATGAGAAATATAGTTTGTAGGGTTCAGCCCCTTGCAATACAAAGAAGATCACAGCAAGTGGTGAATGGATCCAAGATCAACAAGAAAATGGCAGAAATTGATATTTATAACTTCACTTTGAAAAGAGAGCCACAGTTGACATTCTGGCATATTTACCTGTCATCTTCTTTTTATATATTTTTCATGTGCATAATGGAGGTCATACAGGTTTTGCAAGTCGATGTTCTTTTTTCTTCACTCAGTATTATTTCTTGTGTTTTTCCGCATCATTCAAAATTTTATGAATTTGGATGCATACTCTTGCATTTTATGGAGGTACTATAATTTATGTAGTCATTTCTTTATTATTGGACATAAAAAATGTGTCCATCAAAGCAATCTTTTAAAAAAAGACCAAAATTGGAATACTTAACAGATTTCAAGACTTATTATAGAGCTACAGTAATTAAGACAGTGCAGTTTTGGTATTAAGTTAGAAAAACAGAACAATAAAATAGATTATAGAGTCCAGAAATAGATCCCCACGCATAGGGTCATTTGACTTAAAGCTTTGCAATTCAGTATGAAGAAGACCATCTTTTCAATAAATAATGCAAGTTTTCCTTATTTTCTACATTGACACTCAGTTTACATTTATATTGAATTTATATTGAATATCAGTGTGGAAAATAAAGGAAGCTTGATCTCTACCTCAGGCCATGCACAAAAATTAATTTGAAGTAGATTAAGAACCAAAATGTGACGTCCGAAGTAATCAAGCTTCTAGCTGAAAATATAGAAGAATATCTTCCTGGCTTTGATATAGGTAAAATGTATTAAATAAGACACAAAAAGAATTTACCCTAAAAGAAAAAAATTATAAAATTGATTTTATTAATGTTGGGAATTTCTGTTTATCAAAAAGCAAATAGGCAAGGCACAGAGTTACAGGTGCAAACAGAGGCTAGAGAAGCAACCCAGAGACCCAGGTTGGCATTATTTATAATACATATATCCAACAAATCACTCATACTCAGAATGTATAAAGAACTCCTTCCAAAATTAAATAACAAAAACACAACCCAATTTTACAAAGGCAAAATTATCTAACAGATATTGCACAAAAGAGGCTGTTCAAATGGTCAAGCAGATGGAAAGGTGTTCAATTTCATTAGCTATAGGAGAGAAATTCAAGATAAACCCACAATTAAAAACCATTACAAACCCACCAGAATGGCTAAAATTAATAAGCCTGACAATATGAAGTACTGTCAAAGATGTGGAGTAACCGGAACTCCTCTTATAAATTAGTGATGTCATTGTAAATTGGTTCAAGCGCTTTGGAAAACAGTTTTTTAGTATCAATTAAAACTTGGATACAGCAATTCCAATTGTGGTATTTACTTATGAAAAATAAAATGATATATTCATTAAAGACATGCACAAAAATATTTAGCAACTTTATCATAATGGCTGCATACTAAAAACAACATGAGTGTCCAGCAGGAGGGTGAGTAAGCAAACTATGATAGATTCGTACAATGAATGACTGATTCATACAATATAATAGAACACAATAATATAAAAGAACAAGCTATTGTTATACACCAAAAATGGATGAGGCTTACAAACATTAAGCTTGATGAAAGGATTAGTCACAAGAGAAGACCTACTATATGATTTCTTTATATGAAGTTCTTGAAAAGGCAAAATTAATCTATGTTGATGAAAATTAGATAGTAATTACTTCTAGGTATGGACTATTGACAAGAAGGAGGCATATGGAGTACTGGAAAGGTCCTATAGCTTGATATGGGTGGTGGTTACATGGGTATATTTATATTTAAAAATGTATTGAGCTAAACACTTTAAATTTATTGAGCTAAACACTTAAGATTTGTGCACATTGCTGTAAGTAAATTTTAGCTTTAGAAGTATAAAAATATTTCCCAGGATAAATAATATGTTAATGCCTACCTTTGTGCCTAGATCTTAACCCATATATTTGCCTACATAAATGGTGAGGCAGTGTAGTATGGTATTAAGTGAGCCAACTCTGAAGTTAGACTGTATGGGTTTAAATTCTAGCACTGCAAATTGCTACCTGTGCAAGTGTAGGCATGACATGTCAACTCTACTTTCCTTGCTTTTTTCCTCATCAGTAAAATGGGACAATAATAGTACCTACCTCACAGAGTTAATGAAGCTTAACTGTTCAACTACCTGTAAAGCACTTAAAATAATTGCCTGTACAGACTGTACAGACTACACACTGAGTTGTGTTAGCTATTAATCTCATTTTTAGTGAAATTCTGAGATTAAAGAATAAAGTTTGAAGTTTCTTGATATGTCACAAAAGTTCTTTCCAAATAGTTTACACTTTAATCAGCAACCTCTGGAGGCCCTGGCAGATTATTAAATGAAACAAAGTGGGTTCAGGTATTACTGAATGCTAATGCAAAACAACAAATCATTTTAATTAGGAAATAACCACTCAGACTTGAAGCTTTAAGGCAAGCACAAAACAATGCTGAAGGCGGCTAGATATGGAGATTTAAAACTAACTTGCTCATGTAAACTTTTTGTTTCACAGATTCCATCTTGAAATTGCTGTCACTACTTTGGCACTTGCTTTTCATTCTGAGCCCTGTTCCTGTTGATTTTCTTCCCCAATCCCCTCCAACTTCCACTACTGCTTCCTGGCCATCCTCTTATCTTGCCCGGCACTATTCATATGCAGTCTCTATAGCTGCTATCAAGTCTTTTTCTTAAATAAATGGTGAAAAAGGGAATTCCAGGCAGAGGAATTAGCACAAGCAAAGATACAAAGGAGAACTTTTATTAAAGCTTATATTATAACTAATCTAGAGACTACTTAAAGTATATGGAAGGATGTGCATAGGTTACATGCAAATACTACACCATTTCATATCAGGGACTTGAGCATCTGCAGATTTTGGTGTCTGAGGGGTCCTGGAACCAAACCACCATGGATAACAAGGGCCAATGATACTTGGTAAGTATTTGCCAAATGAATGAGGGGTGTGTGTGTGTGTGTGTGTGTGTGTGTGTGTGTGTGTGCAAATGCACATGCCTGTGTGTGCGTGTGTACCTAGGCCCCTTGAAAAATTATAAATGCCAGATGTGCTGGTTAATCTCCATTTGCCCTCTCTCCCAGATCCATTCTTTCTGTTTTTTTTTGCCTAGCTCTATGTTTTGGGATGCTAACTTTGTCAGGTTACATCACATTTGCAATTGGCTTCCAGTTGAGTTCAGCCAATGGGAAGCACCAATGGAAAACAGGAAAACCAGAGCAGAGAGAGGCTGAGACGTTTCTTTGCTGCTCCCTCCTTGCTTTGGTGCCCTTTTTCTGGCAGCAGCTGTGACCCTCTTCGTGACCCTCTGCAGCTCTTGCTGAAAAGGTGCCTCTCCATGCTTACTGGCTTATCATACGCTATTTCTTCCCTGCCCCCTTTGGCTTTAAGGGACACAATGGCTTCTCACCATTAATATTCTCAGGGTACCTCAAAATCCATTGTTTACTTTCTTAACTTTGCCTTTATTAGTCCTTCATTACAGTCTCTCCCTTTAGACCATAGGAATGAATTCTGATTCCTGCAGAGAACCTGACAATGCACTTTAAAAATGAAGATTGTTTGCCTCTCCACCCCCCCAGCTGCCAGCCCTAGTTTAGGGGGAGTCCCTGGTTGCCCAGCACTTACTGCTCTACTTACTGATCTCTCTTCCCCTACTGGACAGTGAGCATCTTGAGGGCAGAGAAAACATCTTCTCTATCTCTGCATCCCCAGGCTCTAAGACAGTGCCTGGTCTACACTAAATACTTAATGCAATAGTTATTGGTCCCCCATCTCATCTGTAACATGAAAGCACTTAGGCTGAACCATCTCTAAAATCATTTTTAAGTCTTCTTAAGCAAATAAGGCAAAGAAAATATTCTTTTCTCAATCCCCCCAACCCCACCCCCACCCTTCTGGAAGCATTGCCCAAGAAGATGCAAACACATTTGCCTTTTCTGGGATGATGTTGAAGTTGTCTCTCAGGGAGTAGATGCCTTAGGAAGTCCATATTGAGCAATTTATATTGGAGAAAAGATTTACCACAAAATATCACAGTTCAGATCAGATTTAATAGACCCATAAATGGCTGCTTAACAAGGACATTTGGTTACTGTTACATTAAGTTTCCTAAGGGACTTTGTTCTGTTCTACCAAAAGCCTGCAAAGAGCTATAAAGCACAAGCCTTCCAAATTTGATAAAAGAAAATTCAGTTCTTTTTGGAAATTGTTATTCTTAAGTGACAGTATGAAAACAAGCCTCAAATGTTTTCTTTTCCAGGCACTTCCTTCATGTATTTTGGAGAAAGTTTGGCCTAACTTACAAGGAAACCCCTTAATTGTCCCTTAAAAGTAGAATTGCGTCATTGTGGATAAGACATGGTGTTCAAATAGCTCCCTGGGGGCTGAACTGTTGGAAACTCAGCAGGATTTTAATTGTAAGCAGACAATTTGTTTTGGATTGTATGCAGAGCATGAAAATGTAACTGCTATAGGATCTAACAACATATAAGGGGATTAAAGTCTGGTGTTTCTCCACTGCTTTACTTCTTGGTTCCAGCCATCTCTGAGTGATGAACTTGTCCTCTAAGGTTATTCTGGGTCCTTTTGAAAATCTGAAATATATTACTTACTAGATCCTGAGCACTTTGAAAGCAGTGCCAGTCTTACTCCCTCCTATATGGCCAGTGCCTAACGTTGTGCCTGGATCATCTGTGCCCAATCAATTTAGTATATTTCAGCAACTTTAAGACATACTTCTTTCTATAGTTTAAAAACTCTAAAATGGGAATGCCTCATAAAGTTGATTAATCAGCTTCTCCTTTCTCAGTGGTACATGAAATCATAATGCATATTGCAGTTGATGATATCTTAGCTTCTGCGAAATGTGGAATGCTGAAAGCCTACGGTGAGCCAGATTCTGTGTCAAGTCCTTTAATGCATTATTCATTACACCATAGGATAATAACTCCCTATGGTAGGTATTATTATCTCCATTTGAGAGATAAGGCTCAGAGTAGCATAGTCAATAGCCCAACCTCACAATTTCTGCTTGGAAAAATGAACTCAAAGTCTGCTACCAAGGCCCATAATCTTTCTATCAGATTGTGCTGTCTCCCAGCGGAAACTTTAGATAAATATATTTTAGAATCAATATGTTAAAATCTAGGATCCTTCATTACAGTTTTGATTTCATTTATCCTGGTGATCAACTCAAGCAATAAATGCCATCCCAATGGGCTCTCAAAAGTGGTCAACATATATTAACCAGTTTGTGTTCTTAGTGACAGAGTGACAGAAACCCATCTTAAACCAAATAAAGCAAATGTAGAATGCACTGGAAGTATCCATGGGTATCTCACAGTTCCAAGGCTGGGTGAAGGTTGGATATAGTTGGGGCTCAGGAACAACTGAAATCTGACAGCTGGCAGGTTGACCATGTTGACAGGACAATATCTTATTTCTGCTTCTATGTACAGCTTCATTCTTCTCTTTTGCTGTAGGCTTATGTTTCACACAAATCAAATCCATGGCTCTTGACAGCTTCAGAGAGCTGTATCTTAGAGCTTCAGCTATAGGAAACAGGTTGATACAACTCTTTCTAACCCAAACCTAAAAACCCCAAGGAACCCACTCATTGGCCCAGGGTCCAAGTCTATATACCCCTGGACCAAGCAATGAGGCCTCAGCTGTAGTCACACTGCATTAAGGTGGTCAATCTTACAGTAACTATGTGAAGGGAGGAGGGGGAAAGAAGGGCAAGTCTCAGAAAACAACAGTAGTAGGCAAAAGTCCCTGAATGTCTGTTTTTTGAAGCCACTAGGAATGTCTGGAAGCCATGTTTATAGATCAGCAAAGAAAGGAAAAGTATTTCCATCTGTGGAGGCTGGTGAGAAATGGAATTTAAGATAGGCCTTAAGGATGGTTAGGATTTGGCTATGTGGAGATGGGAGGAGGGAACTTGAAAATAGCATGACAAATAGTCATGATAACCACCCAAGGAAATATGTGCATAATTATAAATTAAAATCAGTGGTAAGGAGGAGATATATATAAGTTAGGGGCAAGAAGACTTGACTTTGTCTGAGGGATTAGGGACAGCTGTCTTGAATAAGTGACATTGAACAGGCAATCACAAGGTGAAGACCAGAGATGCTGGAAAGAGCAACTCTAGGCAGAAGGAAGACATGTGACAAAGATCCTGAGGTTGAGGGACCATAGCAAGACGGTGGCTCTGAAAGGACCAACCTACTTCTAGTCTTTCTGGGTCTCAGTTGAAGACCACAAGACCCCTTTGTGCTATCCCAATCAGGTAATTTACCTGCTTACAGCTCTTCTCTTACTCCCTACCTACCACCTACTGCAGCACTTCCCAACTGCCCTAGCATGCACTGCCCTGCCACAGGGGGCTTACAGTCGCTTAAGATACCAGTCTTCTCCCTGGGGCCAAGCATCCTTCTCCATTTACTCCGGTGTACCCTACAAAACCAAAAATACAACAATTTTCTATGTGTACCATAGTGGTTCATTTTATGTGTGAACTTGACTGGGCTAAGGGATGCCCCAAAAGCTGGTAAAACATGATTTCTTGGTATGTTAGTGAGTTTTATTTTTGTTTTGTTTTGTTTTGTTTTGTTTTTAGACGGAGTTTCACTATTGTTGCCCAGGCTGGAGTGCAATGACGCTATCTTGGCTCACTGCAACCTCTGCCTCCTGGGTTCAAGCAATTCTCCTGCCTCAGACTCCCGAGTAGCTGGGATTACAGGCATGTGCCACCATGCCTGGTTAATTCTGTATTTTTAGTAGAGATAGGGTTTCTCCATGTTGGTCAGGCTGGTCTCAAACTCCTGACCTCAGGTAATCTGCCTGTCTTGGCCTCCCAAAGTGGAGGGTTCTTCCAGAAAAGATTAGCAGTTGAATAGTAGACTGAGTAAAAAAGATGTCCCCTCACCAGTGTGGGTGGCACAATCTAATCCCTTGAGGGTCCAAATAGAACAAAAAGATGGAGGAAGAACAAATTTTCTTTTCCTTCTTGAGCCGGAACATCCATCTTCTCCTACCCATGAACATTGAAGCTTTCAGTTCTCAGGCCTTCAGACTCTGGGATGTGGACCAGTGAGGGCACGCTCTCTCCTCCAATTCCATCCCCATTCCCTGGGATGGTTCTCAGGCCTTCAGCTTTGGGCTAGGAGTTATCACATCAGCTCCCTTGGTTCAGGCGTTCAGACTTGAACTGAAGTACTGAATTACACTACCAGCTTTTTTCAGTCCAGCTGGCAGACGATATATCTTAGGACTTCTCAGCTTCCGTAACTACATGAGCTGGTTCCCCTATGAAATATCCTCTTCTATCTATCTATCTATCTATCTATCTATCTATCTATCTATCTATCTATCATCTATCTTCTACTGGTTCTGCTTCTCTGGAGAACCTAATACATGTACCATGATGTGATAAAAGCTGAGAATCACTGAAGAAAATAAAACTCAAATACCTAGTTTACAACTTAGGTTTCCTCTTTAATTTCACTTCCAGGCATATTCACCACAATCTTTTAGTTCACCTTCCTAATGTAAGAGAAGTATATGAAACTTGATGATGACCTAGTATAATGTACCTTTCACCCACCTTCTGTACTTGCTTTGAGATTGACATTTCTAGGTGCCTCACAAACTAATTCCTGGTGATACAGACCTTTGTCTACACTCTCCTCTTTTCTATGCACAACAGCCATAACAAATTTCTTTCATATTTTTCTCCCAGAACGCCCACCACAACATCCCCATCAAACAAAATTATTTTACACTTCTGTACCTTTGTACTTATTCCCCCTTCTTGGAATGCCCTGATCCAAAGCCCTTGGAGCCCTAGTGCTGAGGAATATTAATAAATATCATGAAAAAATAAATATTATTGTATTTGTGAACAAAGAAGATTAGGCCCTAGGTTGAACAGGGTTAAATGGTGCCTTCACCACAGAATTTCTCAGAGCTATAGACAGGGTACGTTGCAGTGTGAATTTCTAGGAAGGGTATTTGGTATCCTGGGTTTCTCCAAACTACTTAACCACAAAGTCATTGTCGGTAGAACATCTGTGGGAGTAGAAATGCTCCCAAGGTCACATAGATGAGAATATGTGGATATGTGGGATTTGAATTTAGGATGGAAAGAAGTAGAGAAGAAAAAGGAGAAAGAGAAGCAGACAGCAAAGGCAGACGAGAAAAAGGAAGAAGAGAAAGATGAAGATGCCTCTCCAAAATCTGGAAATTTGCCAAGTTGTCCCTATCTATAAGTAATTATTTTCTTCCTTGGCAGAGTCCCCCAGGGTTGGGCTGTATGTGGAGGGTGAAAAATACGCAAACAAAGCCTGTCCTACTGCCAATCAGAGGCAGGCCTTGTTAGTAACCATCCTAGTGGGTGAGGAGTGAGTCTCTGCTTTCCTGTCAAGTTCCCAGCTGCAGGAAGGATTGCCGGCACTTACAACTCGGCTGTGATGATGCCTTTTGCAGCACCTTTCCTTCCTAATCTCAAACAATAGCCCTTCTTGCACTGATCAGAGTTCACTTAAAGAATAAGATTTAAAAAGCAGGTGACCGTTGGCATTATTACTTGATTATTTTACCAGAATTGTGTTTGCCACCAAGTTGAAATTAGTGTTTTAACCACTAGAACCAATAATATATTAATTAATGTTATTAGTCATGATTACCAAATATTAAGCATCTTCTATGTATCAGGAACAGTGCAAGGTAATGTGCTTAGTGAGTATTCAAACAATGGTAGCAAAATTTTTATAAGTGTGCTTTCTTTGTCCTCATAACTGTATGACCTGCTTTACCAACTTGGGGTTCAATTAATGTCACATTATTATTATTTAAAATTAAGATGAGCTTAGCTCAGGCTCCCCTCTCTTTTTGCTTCCTCCTTTTAAATTGCTTTCTTAATCCAAAAGCCCAGTACTGTTTGTAACACCCCTGTCATCAGAAGACTGATAAGGTTCATAAATTTTAAAAGGAGAGCTTTATTTTTCATAGTGTTGCAGCCTACAGGGTGGACACTCTGACAGGCTGAGAAGTGTAGCCTCTGGTCAGAAGCCAGAAACAGGCACCTTGAGAGAGAGGCAACGGGAACAGGAATTTATGCTGAGCAGAGTGACCAAATACACATATTTAATAAGCTGTTGGAGGAGTCCTAAATACTTATGAAAGGAGAAGTGTGTGCATAGCAAGTAAGCTTCATGCTTCCCCAGGGAGCCCATGTTAAAAAGGAAATGGTTGTGTTTGCATGATCTGAGGGTGGAATTTTCAGCCCTCTGACATTAAAAGGTGAAAAAGAGGATATGAAAAACCTTACTGCGCATTCTCCGTAGACTGGCCAGAACCACTCTATGGTTCTCTTATCATGCCAAATATAAGGGGCAGTGTAATGCAGTTGGTTATCAGTGATGGAGTCTTTTAAAAGCGCTGGTTTCTGCTTAGCCCTTAGAAAAGAAACCCTAATGGCAGTTAGCAAGGGAGGGCATATAATGAGGTGTGCCTGACCTCCCATCCCAAGTCATGTCCAAAAACTCAGTTTTCAAGGTTTCTCTGGGGTTTACTTGGCCAAACAATGGTCCTTTCAGTCAGTTGAGGGGCTTAGAATCTTATTTTTATTCTTAGTCCTCACAGGGAAGTTAGGAGAGTCTGGTCTGTCTATGAGTGGCTCTATTTTCAGTAACTTTAGCTTCTGACACTATTACATGAGGTCATCATCACAGTCTGGTCCTTTCTAGTTATTTTCATTCTCACTTTCTGCCTCAGTGATATCCAGCTTAGTCCCATTCAAAGGTGCAGGAGATCTTTTAAATAAGGACAATACAACTTTCCCAGTGTTATTCTTGGCCAAAGGTGCTCCACACAGATGCTCCCAACTATCCTCAAATCATGCCCACCAGCAGAATCACAGGCCACATATGTGGTTGAAATGAATCTTCTTTTGTGACCATCTAAGTGCTGGTATTAAACCTGTATCATCAGTTCAGAAATGTCCTCATAGGTAGATCCTGTTAGGAAACCTCTGTGTCCTTTGTGCCAGTAGACTTCAGCTGGGGCCATCTGTAATTATTGGAAAGAGTGTAATAAATTTGAGAATCCAAAGAAAAGTCCAGATCTCAAGTCTTTCATGCCCAGGACCATTTGGGTTTCTATGCAAATTTGCCTACTTCTATCCAAGTGATCCTCTCAGCATAGCAAGGCAGGCAGCCTGTCTAAGCAATAGAAGATGATTCTTACAGAATTCCTTCCAGTTGTGGGTCCCCACTGCCTTATGTTTGCAACTTAGAAGGGCCATCAAGTGAAGGCACTTTTCTCAGAACAAAGAAGAAATGACAGTTTATTTTTAAAAATCTATTTTGTATCCACCTAATCAGGTACTCCACTATAGTTAGACTTCTATCCTTTGTCTGGCTTACTGGCTCTTTCTCTTTTTCTAATGCTCTAAATGTGAGTTCATAACCCTCTGCTTTTTTTTCTTTCACTTAGCAACTGAATCCCAGCTCCTAGCATCGAATGTGACTCTACAAGTCTCATTCCCTTCCCTGAGCTCTGTTGTGTACCACCCTCCTGGAGTCTGTCACTTAGATGGTACCTGTATTAATCCATTTTTGCATTACTATAAAAGCCTCTATAGTCTCTATCTGAGACTCTAGTAATTTGTAAAGAAAATAGGTTAATTGGCTCATGGTTCTGCAGGCTGTACAGGAACCCTGGTACTAGCATCTGCCTGTGATGAGGGCCCCAGGAAGCTTACAGTCATGGCAGAAGGCAAAGGGGAAAGCAGCACATCTCCTGGGTAGAGAGGTAGGAAAGAGAGAAAGGGGAGGTGTCACGCTCTTTTAAACAATCAGATCTTGGTGAACTCAGAGTGAGAACTCATTCATTACTGTGACAATGGCACCAAACCATCCTGACGGATTCACCCCTATGGCCCAAATACCTCCCACCTCCAAGACCAGGGATCATACTTCAACATGAGATTTAGAGGAGACACATATCCAAACCATATCAGTACCCAATACACTTTTATTGAATACATTCCTTATCTCTAAATGCCAAAGAATGTCTTCCATTTGTATACCCCTCTTTCATCAGAAACTAAGCCTGTCTAAAACAGCTTTTCTTCCAATAGATATCGACTCTTTCCAAGTATAGTCAGTGGTGCCACCAATTTCTCAACCACATTGCAAGTCTGGAGGAGCATCTTGGTCAATTCCTCCCTTCCACCTACTCATCTACTCTGGCCAGTTTCCTTATCTGTAAAGTGGGGAGAATATCTACCTCCTAGGACTCTTGTTTAGACTAAATGTGTTAACATGTAAAAAGCACCAGAACAATACCTAATATATAGAAGCCAATACATGATAACTATTATTATTTTTATATTTAGAAACCAAAATTACTACATATGGTGTGACATGGAACTTGTTATAGACACCCTGAAGATATAGGATGGATCCCCACCCAAAATGTGGTTTGCACAAGAGTGATGGCATCACACATGCCCCAAGAGGGAATGAAAAGGTTTGTTACTCATATAATGAGGCTTTCTTGGGAGGGCAGATTACCTTCAGGCAGGTAAGAAAGTGGCTTGAGAGAGAAGGAAAAGGAGACTTGGGGTTTATATGGTGGCTGGGGTGTGGCTAAGGTGAGGGTTCCCATGCATGGTTTGAGTTTCCCACTGTGGCAAAGCAGGGGTTACTGGTCTTTCTTACCAGCTTGCCCAGATGTGAGAAAAAGGAGAAGAGGGAGGATAAGGCTTAAAAGCTGTCAGCAGTGTTAAAGTTTATGAAAGGCCATTGTTTTGGACTGAGCTTCTGCACGGTTCCAACAGACCAGACCAAACCAGAAAGGACGCATTCATGTAAGGTGCCATGCAATCAAACTAGACTCTGAAATAGAGCAGTTTAAACAACAAAACAGGAGAATCATAGCAACCAACCAGAAGGAGCCATTTACCTGAGCTGCATAATGGAGTCCCTCTAATTTAATCCTATAAGAAAATAACTGTGAAAGGACCAATTCTCTTTTCATTCTCTTTTCCTGCTTTCTTCAGTCTTTTTCTGCCCATAAAACTAACCCCCTCTGCTCAGTTCATCAAAATTCTACATTCTAGAATCATAAATAGAAGCCGATTCAATCTTTAAATTTGTTGCAATTTTGTCTTTTGACAACAATCAAACATTACAAAAAAGTAGAGTCAGACTCTTCGTCACAGAAATAGTAGGGCAGATCACAACCAATCAGCTACAAGATATTTTCAATTTTTCATTTGAATTGTCTTTAATATGCATTTCCTCCTTCCCCTTCCCATAATCTTGATTGAAGATCCTAATCATTTCAACTATAAGTAACACAAACTCTCTGGCTTCTCTATCTCTATTTGTCCTTTCTTCTCTTGCCCTTCCTGCTCTCAACCATCTTTTTGCCAACGTAATAACTCAAAGATGAGTTTTCCTTCTCTCTGCAAAGTTTAAAGTGGTTTCCCATTTGATGGTTTTGAAACACACTCCAAAAATTCTTTGACACCCTCCCCAGAAAGAGGCAAGGTCTATGTCCCCTACCCTTAATTCTGTTTTAACCAATGAGGTACAGCAGAAGGAATGTATGTGATTTTCCAAACTTGGTCAGTAAAGGCCATGTAGGTCTACCTGATTTTCTTAGGATTCTTCCCCTGGGGGAAGCCAGATACCCCCTAAGAGGTCTGACTCCCTGAGATCCCCATGTTATACCGGGTATGTGCAGGGTCTCCTGTTGATAGCCTCAGCTGAGCTCCCAGCCGGGAGCCAGCATCAACTACTGCCATGTGAATGAGCCATCTTGGGCATCCAGCCCAATCAGCCTTTAGATGGTTATAACCTCAGCAGGTATCTGACTGCAATCTAGGAGAGACCCAAAGCAAAAACTTCATAGTAAGCCCTTCCCAAAGTCTAACCTACAACACTAAGTAAGTTAAATGGTTACTGCTTTACATTTCTAGTTTTAGGTAATTCATTATGCAACATTATAACTGAAACACCCTTATTTAGGCATGAAAAAATTAGGACTGCCAACATATATATAGTTTTTTAATTATAGAGAAAAATAAAGTGAACACATGTCCAAGATCAATCTAATTCATGAATGAAAAAGCACATTTGTAAAGATCATCTACAAAAACGTGTGAGACACTGGTGTTTATATGCACTGAAGAAGGAATGCTGGATGTGTCTTTATAATAGAAAAATTCATGTTCCTTTGGGTATACACCAAGTAATAGGATTGCTAGGTTGAATGGTATCTATATTTAGGTCTTTGAGGAGTTGCCATACTGTCTTCCACAATGGTTGAACTAATTTACACTCCCACCAACAGTGTATAAGTGTTCCTTTTTCTCCACAAACTTGCTAGCATGTTATTTTTTGACTTTTTAATAATAGCCATTTTTATGGGTATGAGATGGTATCCCATTGTGGTTTTGATTTGTATTTCTCTAATGATAAGTGATGTTGAGCTTTTTTCCATATGATTGTTGGCCACATGTATGGCATGTCTTCTTTTGAAAAGTGTCTGTTCATGTCCTTTGCCCACTTTTTAATAGGGTTGTTTGGGATCTTTTTCTTGTAAATTTGTTTAAGGTTTTTATAGATGCTGGATATTAGACTTTTGTCAGATGCATAGTTTGCAAACATTTTCTCCTATTCAGTAGGCTGTCTGTTCACTCTGTTGATAGTTTCCTTTGCTGTACAAAAGCCCTTTAGTTTAATAGATCCTACTTGTCACACATGTATGCATATGTTCACTATAGCACTATTCACAATGGCAAAGACATGGAGTCAACTTAAATGACCATCAATGGTAGACTGAATAAAGAAAATATAGTACATATACACCATGGAATCCTATGCAGCCATAAAAAAGGAGATAATGTCCTTTGCAGGAACATGGGTGGAGCTGGAAGCTGTTATTCTTAGCAAACTAACACAGGTACAGAAAACCAAACATTGCATGTTCTCATTTATAAGTGGGCTCTAAATGATGAGAACACATGGGCACATAGAGGGGAACAACACACACTAGGACCTATCAGAGGGTAAAGGGTGGGAGGAGGGAGAGGATCAGGAAAAATAACTAATGGATACTGGGTTTAATATCTGGGTGATGAAATAATCAGATAATAAACCCCCATGACTCAAGTTTACATATATAACAAACCTGCACATGTATCTCTGAACTTAAAATAAAAGTAAAAAAAAAAGTTGGAATAAAATTGCTGGGTTAAACACAAAACTTGTCAATGTCCTACAGGGAAATAAAATCTTAATCTTTGCAGTTACTTTCTTCCAAATAAAATTATTTGCACATGTGCTGGAAAAAATCTATAAGTTATGTTTCTTCACAGACTCTGGACCTTAAACAACAGAAAACACTGAGTCAAACAATAGTGCACTTCCACAGAGAATTAAATAATCCTTGGGTATGGCTATTACACAATGCACTCCAATGTAATATTGAAAGAACACACAGCTAACAATTTGTCTAAGTTTTTAATATTTTTAATAGGATCTACACTAGATCTCACCTTTTCATAAAGGTCTTTTAAAGGTTGAAAACAACCCAGGTATAAGTGGTGAAGCAGTGGAGATTCAATCTCCGTGACAGACAGTGAGAAAGATTTTTAAGGGAGGAGTCTATCCTAGCACCTTCAAATGACATCATGACATCACCCGTCTCCTCCTTGTATTGTGACTGTCATTTAGCAAAATTTGTGGTTTTCAAATATTTTGGGGGTTAGAGAACCAACTGGGTATCTTTCCACTGGAAATAATGGGACTCTTAATAGTGAAGAAGACTGTGTTTGGGAAATGTCCTGAGAATTGGATTTTCAGATTCCATCACAGAGTGATGTATTTAATCTAAGCAGGAAATATTTGCATGGAAAAGCAGAGCATGCACAGGACTAGAAATCCCTTTTTCAAGCTACCACTTAGTAGCTGAATCACTTCATCTCCCTAAAAGCTGGTTTCCTGAGCTGCGAAATGGGGCCAATAGTACTTTTCTTACTCAGAGAGAGCTTTGGAAATGGGACAGCTCTGTTCACAAGTAAAGGATTACTATTATTACCTATGTGAAAACACAAATGGTAGAAAAGGAAAAAATTCATTCAAGCAGCTTGCTGTGTCAATGCAGCCCCGCCCAACTGGCTAGACCAAAAATTTTTAGTGTAACTGACTACTACCCATGGAATTGCCTGAGTGAACATGTTGTTTTGACATCTACTGACAGGGGTAGCTCCAGAAATCCCCTCTTTACCCCAGCAATGACTCATAAAAAGGGCTCAGAAAAAAAACAAGAATGAGCTGGGGAAGTCTCCTGAGGCTTTAGCAGACTGGGTCAAAAATTGAGCCTCCAGGAAGGAAGGAAGTGCTAAGGCAGGCTTTGGATTTGCACAGAAGTGAACTGAAACATTGGCTCTGCCACTGTGTGGCCCTGTGATCAGGAAAGTGCCATACTCTCTCTGAGTTTAGTGTCCCCATCCAAAAAAATGAAGAAAATAAAACTCATTTCAGTGAATTGATGGGAAATTTGAAATGGTGACAGAAAAATATCAGAGATTTCTTCATACGGTAGGTAATTAAGGAAAAACCCAAATTCCCATCGGTGGCAGAATGAATAAATGCATGTTGGTATATTCACATAAGAGAATATAATCAGCAGTAAAAGAAATAAAGTTCAGCTCTATGTGCCAGAGTAACTGAATCTTTACAATGTAATAATAAATATACATGTCTGAATTATGCATCCAACAAAGGAGTAACATCCAGAGTCTACAAGGAACTCAAACAAATTAGCAAGAAAAACAAACAAACAAAAAACAGCAAAAAAAACAAATAATCCCATTGAAAAGTGGGCAAAGGACAAGAATGGACATTTCTCAAAAGAAGATATACAAATGGCCAAGAAACATGAAAAAATGCTCAACATCACTGATCATCAGGGAAATGCAAATTAAAACTGTAATGAAATACTGCCTTATCTCAGCCAGAGTGACCATTAAAAAGTCAAAAAACACTAGATGTTCTAATGCCATCTGTCCCCCCTCCCCCTACCTAATGTAAATGACGAGTTAATGGGTGCAGCACACCAACATGGCACATGTATACATATGTAACAAACCTGCACGTTGTGCACATGTACCCTAGAACTTAAAGTATTATATATATATATATGTATATACACACACAAAAAAACACTAGATGTTGGTGTGGCTGTGATGAAAAGGGAATGCTTATACATTGCTGATGGGAATGTAAATTAGTACAACCTCTATGAAAAACAGGATGGAAATTTCTCAAAGAACTAAAAGTAGATCTACCATTTGATCCAGCGATCCCACTACTGGGTATCTACCCAAAAGAAAAGAAGTCAATATATCAAAAAGTCACCTGTAAATGTATGTTTATTGCAGTATAATTCACAATTGCAAAGATGTGGAATCAACTTAACTGCCCATCAACTGAAGAGTGGATTAAAAAAATGTGGTATATATATATATATATATATATATATATATATATATATATATATATATATGGAATACTACCCAGCCATAATAAAGAACTAAATAATGTATTTTACAAACTGGAGGCCATTATTCTAAGTGAAGTAACTCAGGAATTGAAGACCAAATGCCTCATGTTCTCACTTATATGTGGGAGCTAAGCTATGGGCACGTAAAGGCAGACAGAGTGATACAATGGACATTAGAGACTCAGAAGGCAGGGGGATTGGGGAGGTATAAAAAATTACTTATTGGGTGCAATGTACACTACTTGGGTGATGGATACATTAAAATCCTAGACTTCACCACTGTACAATCCGTCAGTGTAACCAAAAACCACTTGTACCCCTAAAGCAATTGAAATTTTAAAAATTTAAATAAAAATAAATAGTATATATATTATATATGTGTCTGTGTATATATACACAAGCATATATACTTAGTATATGTATATGGTCTATGTAATAGTATGTCTGTATAAATGGTATATTAAAATAAGGAGATAGACATAACAGGAGTTAGGAGAGTTAGAAAAGGGGTTAATTTGAATGGGAAGACAGAGAGGATGGAAGAAAAGGAACACGTGGGAAAGTATAAGTAGGTGCCAATGTTCTAGTTTTAATGTTTGGTGGCAGGTTCATCAAATACAATATTTATGTTATTATTAATAAAATAAAAGGTGCACATAATGAGAGTATATCATGAACTAAAAGTTGCAATTAATTAAATTCTGGTGCAATAACAACACAGAACAGTCATGCTAAAAATACTGTTGTTTCCTTTCTGCGTTTCTTCTCCTAGAATTTTTTTTTTAAAGGAAAAGTACTTTTTAAAATGTAGTTCATTTTCTCCACACTGTATCCACAGTCTTTTGTCCCATAAGTCTTTAATTAAAGCTAAGACAATCATTGGTTTAGGCATATTTAATGGTTTCTGTCTTTGAAAACTGCATTCTTTATATAGTTGTTTGCTTCTCATCTTCATAATCAGTCTTTCTAACTCCTATTTCCCACTTGTTTATATAATGGAATAAGGTAAAATGCAGTAAGATATTCAAATAACTGAAAAGAAAATGATATTGTACAGGCAAAATGAAGTCAAGAGCAGAGCCTACACATAGGTCCTTCACAGTCTCACCCTGATATGGTTTGGATGTTTGTCCCTCCAAATCTCATGTTGAAATGTGATTCCCAGTGTTGGAGGTGGGGTCTGCTGGGAGGTGAGTGGGTCATGGGG
Organism: Homo sapiens; assembly: GCF_000001405.40. Lineage (NCBI taxonomy): Eukaryota > Metazoa > Chordata > Mammalia > Primates > Hominidae > Homo > Homo sapiens. The sequence continues at coordinate 59,275,182 of NC_000001.11, forward strand.
ACAGATCCCTCATGAATGGTTTAGCACAATTTTCTTGGAGATAAGTGAGTTCCTGTTGTAACAGTTGTTTAAAAGAGGTTCTTTAAAAGAGTGTGGCACCTCCCCGTTTCTTGCTCTCACTCTGTGATTCGTTGGCTCTCCTTCACCTTCCACCATGATTGAAAGCTCCCTGAGGTCCTCACCAGAAGCTGAGCAGATATTGCTTCCATGCCTGTACAGCCTGCAAAACTGTGAGCCAGTTAAACCTCTCGTCTTTATTAATTACACAGTCTCAGGTATTCCTTTATAGTAACACAAAAATGGACTAATAGAAACCCCAAACTCAGATTCATCTCTCAACACAATTTCCGTCTAGTCTAGTCATACTGAAAGTCTTACTCTTCCCAAACACATCATAACTGTTTATGCCTCTATTCCAGCCCCCTTCTGGAATGTCTTTATCACCATTTTTTTTCTCTCTCAGAAAATTCCTACTCTTTGTTGAGAACCACACTTAAATATTACTTCCTCTGTGAAGTATTCCTGAACGCCCCCAGGAGACTTTGTTGTTATCTCCTCTATGCTGCTATATTACTTGAAAAATACCACTATTGTAGCCTTTAAGACAGTTGTTGTAATCATTTTGTTCACACTTGGCCCCTCTAACTCCTGTAAGGAAATATTAGAACTACTTCACTCAGAAGCGTCGACGCTCTACAGAGTATAAACAAAAACTTGGGTGACTGAGTGATTATTATATTAAATATTTCATACCTCTTCTTCTTGCTGGCAATTCTTCAATTGTAGTGTGGTGCTAACTGCAAGTGCTCAAGAGATCAAATGTCCAAGAGGAAGTTTCTTGGAGAAGGGTTTTTTGTTTTTTGTTTTTGTTTTTGAGACGGAGTCTCGCTCTGTCCGCAAAGGCTGGAGTACAGTGGCGCGATCTCGGCTCACTGCAAGCTCCGCCTCCCGTGTTCACACCATTCTCCTGCCTCAGCCTCCCAAGTAGCTGGGACTACAGGCGCCCGCCACCATGCCTGGCTAATTTTTGTATTTTTAGTAGAGACGGGGTTTCACCGTGTTAACCAGGTTGGTCTCGATATCCTGACCTTGTGATCTGCCCGCTCGGCCTCCCAGAGTGCTGGGATTACAGGCGTTAGCCATCGCGCCTGGCTGAGAAGGGGGTTTTATGTGGAGCCTTGGAAGATAAGAAATACATATATAGAAAAGGGAGAATCCCCTCTGCTGACTCTATCCGTCTCTAGTTGTTATCTTTCTTCATCTCTGTCTGGAAGACTCATCTTCATCCCAGCAACAAACGTAACTGAGTCCAAATAGGGAACAGATTACTGGCTTGTGAGAGAGCCTCACAGGAACCATGCAAGCAAATACTTGTAGACACAACTTTTGCTGGCCTGGGAAAAGCTTCCGGAGAAGGAAAGCTGCAAGATATTTTTAGGTTACTTCTATTTGATGAAATATATTGCCTCTTCTGAAATGTGTATGGATGGAAAGGAAGGGAAGTCAGTGTGACTAATTCAGATAATAAGAGGGGTCAGTTAGGCAGTGAATGCTATGGGAGCTCCTATTAAATAATATCCTGCTATTCAAGGTGAAGCATACTCATGAGCAAATGCTGCAGGCTATTAAGAAAAGATAGCATGGTGTAATGACTAAAGTTCGGGAGTTGGTATTATATCTGAGCTCAAATCCATGTGTCAGATACCTAGACAAACAGCCTCATAAGTAACCAAACTTTTTTGACTATTTAGTTCATCATCGATTAAATGGGAAGGAAATAACATCTACTTCATAGAATTGTTGTAAGATTAAAGGAGATATAAAAACAATCAGTACATTAGAAGTGTTCAGTAAATGGTAGCAATTACTGTTATTTAAACTCTGAGTTTCTGTTTCCTGGAGAAGAAAATATGGTGAGGGGCAGACAATATTACTTACTTCACAGAAGGGTTAGATGAAGAAATCTTTAGTTAAAATATTTAGGATAGTATTTAGCACATAGCTCAGCATTCAGTGAATATCTGAATCAAGATAAAATGAGGAAATTGATCTAGGGTTTCTTAATTTTTTCAGGAGTATAAAGCTAGCTGTGGACCATTTCTCTCTCTCTCTCTCTCTCTCTCTCTCTCTCTCTCTCTCTCTCTCTCTCTCACACACACACACACACACACACACACAAAATTTTGAATAAAATTTTAGTGACTCTCTGAATTCTATTAAAAAAAATGGCATCCCTGGATACCCAGGTTTAAAAATCTCTGATTAAAATAAAGATATAAAATACAGGCTACAAGAAATGAAGATTGTGTAGGTGATTGTTTCTTCCTTTAAGAGAATGAGTCCATTATTCATTTTTAAAACTCAATTAACTGAGTTAGGCACAGCCTTAAGTGTAAATTAATAAACCCCTTTTGTGGAGGACACAGGAAACAATGGCAAATATTCAATCTTTACTCTTCAAAGTTGGACTGGTTTATTTTCTGCCCTTTTTGAACGTGCTATAGATTTTAATCCCCTTTTGGCCTTTTCTTTTGAAGAGAGCTAATGGAATTGTACCCCCTCTGTCCTCATTTTCCATTCCTCAACGTGTCTGGGCTTTTGCCTCCAAAGGTTAACATTGCTATGAAGTAATGTAATTCTTTATTGCTATTTAGACAGATTTATTCAGAGCTCTATCTGCACAGACATCTGTAAGCATAGTGAATGTGACATCCAGAATTTCCCAGTGGGGCTGGATATTATATTTATAGTAGCCAAACTCAAAACTAAAACACAAAAATCCTCAAAACCTCCATAAATTTGGATTTAACTAGAATTGAACAACAATGTGTTTCAAATAATTTTCTAATTAGGGTAGGAAAATGCCTCTGAAGTAAGAAAGTTAGGCATTGGTCTAGCCACACATAGAGATGAGCTCAGTTTCAATTAATTTGCCTTACATTGGAGCACTGAAGTTAACCTTACCCATCATTTCTGGGTTGGATAAAATGTGCAGATTCGTAGAGTCACAAACACTGAGGTTTAAGAAAGACATTAAAATGGCATTCATGTGCTCATAGCGAGCATCAGTAATTGATCACAGCACAATTTCTTCCTGCAAGAAAGGTAGCCACTATCAATCATTTGGAACTGCCATGGGAGTAGAAACCTATTTGCCATATCTGGTATTCTAAGGAATGCACTTAGGAAATATTCTTGTCACCATCTCCACACTCAAGACCCTCTTATGAAAAGGACCTACCAGTGCTCTGTTCCATCTTGGGGCTGTAGAACTTTCTTATATTCAAACATCAAAATTTACCTACTACTTTAAAACTGATTTCCTCCTGGGGGGAGAGGGGGACAAAACACATCTAATCCCTCTCCCAATTAACATTCGGCAGGCTCTTTAATTAATTCCTTCATTTACTATTTCTTGAGCATTAACTATATCATAGGCACTATGCCAGACAGTTGGGGTATCATGATGAGCAAGATAGATCCCTGCTGTCACAGAGCTTCTAACTCCCCAGGGAAGAAGAGATTTGACGACAGCCATGATTCTTCTGGTCTCCTGGCTAACCACTCCCAATTCTGTAAACACTTGTATGAAGTGCCTTCACTGTCCTGCTCAGGCTCCTCTAAATTTGCTGTAATTGGTCTAGGACCCTCTCAAGGGGCGTAGCCTAAATAACACCAGGAGGAAGGCTGGGAAGAGTAAGGCTTGTCACTTCTGGCCCAGATTAAGTACTTTTTCCTGTGAGTTCCTGAAGTCCTCCTCCTCATCAACCTTTTATCTGATTCCCCAGCTGCTCTATGGGTAGGAGATGGAGGGCAATGACTAGACAATCTGAATGAGCTGGAATGGTTATCAGTTTCAGCCTGATTTAGGGCATTCCCATTACAGGCATACTTACTAATTGAGACCCTGGACTTCCAAGACCAACAGACCTGTGCTTGAGTCTCAGCTTTTCCACTTACTAACTTAAGCTAGCAAGCCCAACTTTGCGAGTTTGTGACCTGTGCAGTCATATGTGGTTGGGGGTGGGGGTAGGTGAGCAAGCTCAGGGGAATTCTGAATTTGGTTTAGTGCTCTGCTATCACTGTCTTGAAATTCCTAATAATTTGCTAACATGAGGCTTTGCATTTTTATTTTGCACTAGGCCCCACAAATTCTATAGCTGGTCATGTAAGCAAGTTACTTAATGTCTCTGAGATTTAATGTCTTCATCTAAAAAACAGGGGTGATGATGCTACCTACTACACAGGTTCTAGTGAGTTTTATATGAGGCAATGTGTACTATGCCTTTCCCTAGTAATCCCCCCACCAATGTAAGTCAATGGAATTTTTATTTAGAATATCTGACATGAAATATTCTGAATTTAGTATATATGCTGCCAAAGTGAGTATTTCTAAATTCTATGTACCATTAATTACCTTTTTTTTTTTTTTTTTTTGTACTTCTTCTATTCTCCTAGCTATATAATAGATGTTTGGGAAAGAGGAGTTAACTTTTCTTTTTAACTGGGCATCTGATTTCTTTGGTTGCCTGTGACAAAAATGGCTTCTGGCTAACTTATGCAAAAGGGAATTTTTGGAATGATAACATAATTGCAAAACAGACAAAAACAATAGCAACACTGGAGAATCAGGCTTGGAGAGACAGCTTCCTTCCGAGGTGGAAGAGTTTTGGCAGCGGTAGAAAGCATGAACTCCTACCATTTTCAGTCGCTTTGTCACTCTGCTGAAGATTCACATTCCAGAGATGGGTATCCATGGCGTGGCTTGGTTCACATGCTCACCTCCAGGCTAGGAAAAGGCTGGGCATGTAATTACAGCAGTCCTATAGACTACGGGTGGAGGGGACTCACCAAAATATAAATGACAGGCTGATATGAAGGGGAAATAGGTCCAGAAAAATAAAAACAAAATAACAAATCTTCTGAGTGCCTGCTATATACCTGGTGCTCTGCTAGGGGCTTTCATAGAGTATTCATTTACCTGACATACAGTGCCTAATATGAGTTGAGCACTCTGTAAACACTTGTTGAATACACGAATGAGTGAGTGAATTATTGAACCCTCGCACAACTCTTAGAAGTAGATATTAGTCCCATTTTTCAGAGGAAGAAACCGAAACTCAGGGAACTTAAATAGTTTGCTTAAAATTATACAACTAGCAAGTAGCAGAGTTGATATTGAAACCCGGTTCTCATTCCAAAGCTTATGATTGTTATGCCACTGCATGCTGGCAGCCTTTCTTAAGGTATATGTGGGGACTGCTTTAAACCTCTGTACCTTCTGCTGTGCCTCCCCAAATCACAGGAGCTGATGGATTCTAGAAAGTTTATCTGGGCCGGGGAAGGTTCATTTTGTGGTTCTCTACTAATTTCAGAAAGGAATGTGTCACAAGGCATGTGACTCTGAGTAAGACACCTGAATCTCCTCAACATTAAGTGGGTATAATATAATAATGGTTATCTCCCCATAAAGTTTTCAGTAGATTGGTGAAGAGTATGTTTATAAAGCTCTGGTATAGTTTCTATACATGGAAAGCCCTCAGAAATGACAATTAATCGATAGTCTCAAAAAAAGTATAGAGAAACAGGAAGAAAGTACTGGGGGAGGCATCAGGTTTCAGAAAGTTAAGACTCCACTAGATAAACTATCATTTTACATATATCTTAGAAAGAAAAAGCATTGTCAGTTCAACTATGACATACTGTATTACTTTGAGTTTCCATTTTGTATTATTAATACTGAGAAAATATTTTTTAGACTGTAGACATAACTTTTAAAATGAAAATCTCTTTTAGACTTTTTCAGACATATACTCTAATCATATATTGCCCCTTTGTATATGTAAAAAGGAAAATGTAAGCAAAATTCATTAAGACTAAGACTTCACATTTTGAATGGTTCACCTCTTCTGAAGCACTTTTTAACTCAGTTATTGATGTGTTTCTCCTCACAATATTGTCAACTGAGCCATCAAAAGTATTGAAGAATGCAGAATTTCTTTAAAGAGTGCTACACTGTTGTCTTGGGAATGTTCTGTCAAGCCACTGATATCAATTCACAAAATTTGATGCTGATGCTATCTTTTTTGATTTTACTGTAAGATACCAGTGGAAGTTTTCCAGACAGTAACTGTAACTTGCATTTGTTTCTCCAAAGGTCTATAGGTGGTTTGTTGATTAAAACATCAATGGCTTTAGTTGTCTAGTCATTCTGTCCAAGAATTATAACCAAGTACTTGTAGGCAGGCAGTGATGCTATAGCATTGGTAATTTGACATCATCGATTATAAGGTATGCCCTGATTTCAATGTTAAATGTTAAGTAAGAATGTGTATCTTAGTCTGGGTGTGGTGGCTCATGCCTGTAATCCCAGCACTTTGGGAGGCTGAGGTGGGTGGATCACCTGAGGTCAGGAGTTCAAGACCAGCCTGACCAACATGGTGAAACGCCATCTCTACTAAAAATACAAAATTAGTCGGGCATGGTGGCACATGCTTATAATCCCAGCTACTCAGGAAGCTGAGGCAGGAAAATTGCTTGAACCTGGGAGGCAGAGGTTGCAGTGAGCCGAGATCACACCATTGCACTCCAGCCTGGGCAACGAGTGAAACTCCATCTCAAAAAACAAAAATAAATAAAAATAAAATAATAATAATAATAATAACAATAATGTGTATCACAGAATACATGAAATATGGCCGTAGAAAAGTTCTGGGAATTAGATGTTTTCAGGCCTTGTATTCTATATCTTGCTTTGTCACACTAGCTTATGACTTCAGAAAATTTTCAAATGTTTGAAGGTATAACCTTGTTGAATCCCCTCACTTCACAGATAAGAAAACTAAAGTGCAAAGAAGTGTTGCAACTTAAATTATCCAAGGACACTCTGAGTAGGATAGGCTGACTTGGGTTCCTCTGTCCTGTTCATTCTGCTTCACTGTTTCCATGAAAAAAGGATTATTCCAGAAGAGTACAAAGTATTGGCAATAATTTGCACTCTATCTAGAAGCTCCACAATGTTCTCTAATCACTCACTATCTATTCTGGGCATCTCCAACTGCTTTAGTCTTTCTTGGCCTTTAAATCCCAAATCAAATGTCACCTCTGTTGGGATGTGTTTTTTTTTTTTTTTTTCAAGAGCCTTTCCCATTCTTTATCTCCCCAAGCAAGTAATTGCTCCAGGTTTTGTGGTTCCACAGCACTTAATTCCTAATACTCTCATAAAAATCACCACATTGTTAGATTTTAATTTGTTTCAAAATCTTTTTTAAAAACTTATCAAAAAATCTCAAACATATGCAAAGTAAATAGAATAGTTTAATTAACCTGTGTTCCCATCATACAACTTCAACTATAAACTTCCTGCCATTACTAATTCTTCTATACATCCCATCACTCTTTACCCCCAAGTAAATTATGCATTTGATGTAAAATTTATATATAATGAAATGAACAATTACAAATAGATATGTTCATGTAACTCACAAACCTATCCATGTTTTGAACATTTTCAATACTCCAGAAAGTTTTCTTATGTTCCTTCACAGTTTGGCTCCCCCAACCTCTTCTACTCTCTCAAGGCAATTATCAAATGACTTTTTTTCCACTATAAATTAGTTTAGATTGGATTAGACTTCACATAAATTATAAATTTTAATTAGTTTAGATTCGATTAAAACGTCACATAAATGCAATCACATAGATATGTGCAAAGAATTTCATTAAGATGCTTGCATAGAGGCACCCAGAAGTGGTGTTGCCCACAAAAAAAGGACCAAAGCAAAAAATAGATAACCAGGCTTCACATAGGACATCTAAAGGAGAACACTGGAATTCAGGAAGGAACTGAGAAAGACCCTCCGAGGCATAGAAACTTGAGATAGCAGCATAGAGAGGGAAGTGAAGCAGCTAGACAGAAGCAACTCTGAGGCAAGAGAGACTCCTCATAGCCAGAAGAGGTAAGTGGGAGATCCCTAGCAGTCCACATTCCACCACATATGCCTGCAATTCTGAGTTAAGAAGAGTCTTCCAGCCCTCAGAGGTCATGAGCCTAGTATAGGAAGCTGCCTGGAGTCCACATGACTGCAATCCCAAAGAAGAAATCAACACTGCACCCCCATCCTCTGGGGCCCAGGCTGCTGCAACATGGCATTATTTTGAGAACAAAGCCACCACTAAATCCTGCCCTGGGGCTCAATAGCTCTAGCACTTCCACATCCCTGGGGAACACCTTGACATCCCCCCGAGAGATACCCAGAAGGATGCAGCATCATGAAACCAGCTGGAATCAGCAGTGCAGATGTGACCTTGGCACCTGACTCCAGGCAGTACCCTATATCCCAGTGCAAAGGCAGTTCAGTACATCAGGGGGATTGCCCCAGGACATAAAGACCTGAAGTACACATTCCCCAGAATCTGAGCGGTATCTCTCCACTGACAGTGGCCCTGCACTTTACAGTGGCAGGGTTGCTGCGTGCCTGCATGTGCCATCCAGAGACCCAAAGACCAGACTGCCCAGGGCCCACTGCACTGTCCAGGACTTAAAGACCAGCCCACCTGGGGCCTAATGCCACCACCTATGAACCTGCCCCCTTGAGGGGCAGGGAGACCACATACCCATGTGTGCCCCTGAGAAACACAAAGCCCAGACTGCCTAGTGTCCCTGTCCCCAGCAAAAATGCTTCACAGCCTTCACAAACAACCACAGCCTAAGCCACTAAGAAGCTCACAGGTAACACTGACATTTATTATAGATGTAAAAATCATACAAAGACTATACTGCACCCACCCAGATCCAAAGCCAAAGTACCCTACTCAACTGACACTATAGATACATCTACAGGAAAAGAATCATCCCCTACAAAAGGTACTCCATAAAATTGGAAGAAGCAACTGTTACATCAGATGTATAGATATCAACGTACGGATATAAGAAACATAGAAAAACAAGGAAACATGATACTTCCAAAGGAACACAGTAATTCCCCAGGAGCAGACCCAAAGAAAGGAAAATCTATGCAATTCCTGAAAAGAAATGGAAACTAATGATCTTAAGGAAATTCAGTGAGATACAAGAGAACACAGATAGATAATACAAAGCAATAATAAAAACAATTTATGACCCAAATGAGAAATTCAACAGAGACAAATATCATAAAAAGGAACCAAACAGAAATCTTGGAACTGAATAATTAAATGAATAAAATAAAGAATATAATTGGGAGTTTCAACAATAGATTAGATCAAAAAGAATAATTTCTGAACCCAAAGACAGGTCTTTTGAAATAACTCAGTCAGACAAAAAGAAAAAGACAAAAGAATAAAAACAAATGAAGAACACCTACATAACATATGGAATATCATTAAGTAAACAAATATTCAAACTTTGGGAGTTCCAGAAGAAGAAGAAGAGATGGGAAAAGAGAAGAGATCTTAGTCATAGTCATAAATTCTTTGCTTGACCAATGTCCAGAAGAGTTTTCCCTAGGTTCTCTTCTAGTATTTTTAAAGTTTTGTGTCTTACATCAAAGTATTTAATCCATCTTGAGTTGATTTTTGTATATGTTGAGAGATAGGGGTTCAGTTTCATTCTTCTGCATATAGCAATCCAATTCCTCCAGCACCATTTATTGAAAAGGGTATCCTTTCCCCAATATAGGCTCGTCTCAGTATTCTTTGTCAAAGATCAGTTGGCTGTAAATACGTAACTTTACTCCTAGGTTCTGTATTCTATCCCATTGAACAATGTATCTATTTTTATACCAGTACTATTCTGTTTTAGTTACCATTGCCTTGTAATATAACTTAAAGTCAGGTAATGTAATGCCTCCAGCTTTGTTCTTTTTCCTTAGGATTGCTCTGGTTATTCAGGCTCTTTTTGGTTCAACAAATTTTTAAAAATCAAATAATATCAGTGAAATAAAACTAGAATAAAATAAAACTGGACATCAATAATAAGAAAAACTTTGGAAACTGTACAAATATAAAACAATTAAAAATATTCTTCTGAACCACTAATAGGTCTATGAAGAAATTAAGAAGTAAATTAAGAAATGTCTTAAAACCAGTGAAACTAGAAACACAACATACTGAAGTCTATGGGATACAACAAAGGCATTATTAAGAGGGAATTTTACAGCAATAAATTCCTACAACGAAAGAGTAGAAATTTCAAATAAACAACCTAATGTGCACTTCAAGGAACTAAAAAAGCCAAAACAAAGCACACATAAAATTAGTAAAAGAAAAGAAATAATAAAGATCAGAGAAGAACTAAATAAAAGAAATAAAAAAATAAAAGACCAACAAAATGAAAAATCAGTTTTTGAAAAGATAAATAAGATTGACAAACTATTAGCTAAATTAAGAACAAAAGACAAAAGATCCAAATAATAAAATTTCAAATAAAAAGGGAGAGAATATAGCTGATACCATAGAAATACAATGTACCATTAGAAACTGTTATGAACAACTATATGCCAACAAATTGGAAAACCTAGGGGATAAAATTCCGGGACACATGTAACCTACAAAGAGTGAACCAAGAAGAAATAAAAAACCTAAACAGACCAGTAATGAGTAACAAGATTGAATCAGTAATAAAACATCTACCAACCAACAAAGAAAAACCGAGGACCAGATGGCTTTACTGCTGAATTCTCCTGAACTTTTTTTTTTTTTTTTTCCTGATTGCCTAGGCTAGAGCGCGATGGTGCAATCATAGCTCAGTGTAACCTCAAACTGCTGGGCTCAAGCAATCCTTTTGCCTTAGCCTCTCAACAGGTGCATGCCACCATGCCCAAGCTAAACATTTTTAAAACTTTTTTGTAGAGATAGCATCTCACTAAGTTGCTTAGGCTGGTCTTGAGCTCCTGGCTTCAAGCAATCCTGCTGCCTCAGCTTCCCAAAGCACTGGGATCACAAGTGTAAGCCACTGCACCTGACCCCGCACTTTTAAAGGACTAACACCTTCTTTAAAAGGTATCATTCTGAAAAGCCAGTATTAACCGGATTCCAAAAGTAGACAAAGACATAACAAAAAACTTACAGGCCAATATTCCTGATGAATATAGTTGTAAAAATTCTCAACAAAATACTAGCAAATCAAATCCAACAGCACATCAAAAAGATTACAGACCATGATCAAGTGAAATTTATCTCAGGGATGCAAGGATTTTTCAACAGACACAAATCAATAAATGTGATATATCACATCAGCTGAATGAAGGACAAAAGTCTTATAAACATCTCAATAGATAAAAAAAGCATTTGGTAAAATTCAACATCTCTTTATGATAAAAATTCTCAACTATTAATAGGTGAAGAAGGGACATATTTTATCACACAAAAAAACTTTATGCTAACAAAAAAAACCACACAGCTAACATTATATTGAATAAGGAAAAGCTGAAATCTTTTTTTCTAAGAACCGTGACAAGACAAGGATGCCCACCTTCACCACTGTTATTTACCATAGTACTTGATGTACTAGTCAGAGCCATTAGGCAAGATAAAGAGATAAAGGGCATATAAATTAGAAAAGAGAAAGCCAAATTGTTCCTGTTTGCAGACGACATGATCTTATATACAGAAAAACCTTAACACTTCACTAAAATACTCTTAGAACTGATAAACGAATTCAGTAAAGTGGCAGGATACACAATCAACACACAAAAATCAATAGCATTTCTAAACACCAATAATAAACTGCCTGAAAAAGAAATTGAGAAAGTGACCTCATTTATAACAGCTATGAAGAAATAAAATACTTAGGTATAAATTTAATCAAGGACGTGAAATACTTAGGAATAAATTTAGCCAAGAACATGAAAGACTCACAAAAAAAATTATGAAACGCTGATGAAAAAATTTGAAGACATACAAAAAATAAAAAGATATTCCATGTTCATGGATTAAAAGAATTAATAGTGTTAAAATGGCCATACTACCAAACGTAATTTACAGAATCAGTACAATTCTTATCAAAAGACCAATGACATTCTTCACAGAAATAGAAAAAGCAATCCTAAAATTTGTATGGAAACACAAAAGACTGAATAGCCAAAGTAATACTGAGCAAAAAGAACAAAGCTGAAGGCATCACACTATCTGACTTCAAAATATCCTGCAAAGATAGAGTGACCAACGCAATATTGCATGGTATAAAAACTGACACATAGACCAATGGAACAAAATAGAGAGCCCAGAAATAAATTCATGTATTTACAGCCAACTGATTTTCAACAAAGGCACCAAGAACATTCACTGGGGAAAGAACACCCTCTTCAATAAATGATTTTGAGTAAACTGGATATCCACATGTAGAAGAATGAAACTAGACCCCTATCTTATATCATATACAAAAGTAAACTCAAATGGATTAAAGACTTAAATGTACCAGCAATACATAAGAAGTTGTTACTCCACATTTTTTCCTGTATTTGTTGTTGTCAGTCTCTTTAATTTTAGCCATTCTAGACATTGTGTAGTGATATCTCATTGTGGTTTTTATTTGCATTTCTCTGATAAGTAATGATATTGAAAAGTTTTCCATGGGTTTATTGGTCATTCATGTGTTTTCTTTTGTGAAGTGTTTGTTCAAAACTTTTGCCCATTTTTATAATTGGATGTTTGTCTTTTTATTACTGAATTATAGACATTATTTATATGTTTTGGATTAACATCATTGGCAGATATATGTTTTGTGAATATTTCTTCCCACTCTGGCTTACCTATTTATTTTATTATCAGTGTCTTTGGTAAAGTTTATATTATCGAACTTTTATTTTCTGGTTGTTTCTTTCTGTCTTGTACAATTTGCTTACATCACTAGTCTGTGGGCTCCTATAGTGAATGAGTGTGAATATTTTTTTCTTGTGCCCTTAGCCCCAGCATAGAGCCTGACTTATAGATGGCCCATAAGTGTAGTATTAAGTTTGTTGGGAGTAGGAGAGGAGGAAATATGTTTCCTTTTTTTTGCCTAGTAACTTTTTAGGGAATTATCTCCCCTCACCATTCAGTCCTTCTGGTTAAGATAAGGCTTATCTCATTCCAACCCATCGTTAAGTGTGGGCACTTGATCCAAACTAGGCCAATTGAAGCCTTGCTCCGCACTCTTGTAAGAAATATGAGTGTAGAGGTATCATCACCCTCCTCCTACCAAGATTTAGAAGGACATTGTGACGGTAAAGCAATTGCTTGCCATCTTTGCTTTCACCCAAATAATCCTACTTGAGTATGAAGTCAACACAGAAGTTAAGAGATGGAAAATGGAGAAAAAATGATCCTTGAAGACATAATTGGAATCCCCGGATTCAGCCTTTCCTGAATTTCACTTCCCTTTGAAATGCTCAGTTATATAAATCAAAGCTTTTTGGTTTATGTATTTGTTTAAGCAAATTTGAGTTATATTTTTATTTCTTGCAACCCAAAAAGTCCTGCCTAGTATACTTCCTAATAATGTAATCCTTCCCCTAATTAACATCTAATTCTCCAAATCTCCAGAGGATTTTTTGGAGCTGAAGGAGATGGGGTGGAAAGCAATATTTGTAATTATCTCAGAGTGTGTGATCAATAAAACAGGAGTCCTGGCTTCATACATTATGTAGCACTGTTAAAAATCATAAACTTTTTTTTTTTGTTTTTTTTTTTTTTTTTTTTGAGACGGAGTCTCGCTCTGTCGCCCAGGCCGGACTGCGGACTGCAGTGGCGCAATCTCGGCTCACTGCAAGCTCCGCTTCCCGGGTTCACGCCATTCTCCTGCCTCAGCCTCCCGAGTAGCTGGGACTACAGGCGCCCACCACCGCGCCCGGCTAATTTTTTGTATTTTTAGTAGAGACGGGGTTTCACCTTGTTAGTCAGGATGGTCTCGATCTCCTGACCTCATGATCCACCCGCCTCGGCCTCCCAAAGTGCTGGGATTACAGGCGTGAGCCACCGCGCCCGGCCAAAAATCATAAACTTTTAAATCATGATATAAATTTAAAACAAAACTAATTATAATGTTCAGATCATGGAAAGACCTGCTACTATTATGTCCGAGCATACTCCTCACTGTCATTTTATTTCTATATATTGTCATCAAGTATCTGATTGATTAATGAAAGAAACATGAATCCTTGAAACAAGCAAATTCATTTTCTCTTTTAATAGTAGAACACAAGCCAGATGAAATCTTTTTTTAAAGACTCTGTCATATAAAACTGACAAAAGTAAAGTTGTTCTGGTTAAAGATGCATGTGTGTATATATATATCTGTGTATGTGCATATATTTGTATGTGTGTACATATGTATCTATGCGGTCTGAGTACCTATGTGTATGTGTGTCTACATACAATTGTGTATGTTTATACATGTGTGGTATAAAGTGAATGAGACTGTATATTTACATATATGTGTGTATAAGTGTGTGTCTATATCTCTATGTGACTGTATTTGCGTCTGTGTCTATATCTCTATGTGCTACATTGTGGCTTAATTTGCATTTGTGTGTCTGTGTGTGTTTGTGTGTGTGTGTAGTGTAAGTATGGGTTTGTGCCTGTGTTTGTGTCTGTGTGCTCTGCGTTTGTGTCTACATGTGACTTTGTGCAAACATGTATGTGCCTGTGTTGTATGTGTATGCCTGTAGGTATATTTGTGTGGCTGTATGTGTGCATGTGTTGATGTGTCTGTGGTTGATGGTAGGGAGAAGGGTAAAGCTACACTATCCTATTCTGTACTTGGTGCAAATTATGAAAAGTGCCCTCTCTGGTAGGACAGAGCAGCCTCACAGGCAAAGGGATTGGCCAGCAGACTGGGGACTGGGTTTCAGTCCCCACTGGCCCCCTCATCTGGTATCTTAGAGCAGAGAGCAACTTGGTGAACATGAGGGGTATTTTGGAAGACCTGAAGTCCATTCCGTCTCTCCTTTGTTGTGCAGGCACCTTCCCATAGAACTCAGTCTGAAAACTGATATTCTCTAATTGTCCCAAAATGACACGATTCCAGAGGTGTTCATGGCAGAGTTCCTCTACCTGAAGTCCAGGAACTGCAGAGCCTCCAGGGGGCTCCTTCTTTGACTCAGCCTCAGGCCTTCAGCATGACTTCCCGCAGGTAGACCTTCTCTCACCTCCCTTTTTGGAAAGCTCAAGCCAGAGAGTCCTGCCTTAGTGTCCTACGGCCTTAGGCTCGCTTCTGCCACCTGTGGCCTTGTTGTGGAAAACACGTGTTGAGGTTTAGGGTTGCATATTGCCATGGCTCATTACATGGTTTGCAGTTTTTAAAAAATGACTCATGACTAAGAGGCTGTGGGGTTGTGATTGGGTGGCGTTAGTGGAGAAAGATATGG
Organism: Homo sapiens; assembly: GCF_000001405.40. NCBI lineage: Eukaryota > Metazoa > Chordata > Mammalia > Primates > Hominidae > Homo > Homo sapiens. The sequence goes on from NC_000001.11 coordinate 59,290,508, forward strand.
ATGGCGTGGGACTAGTTTAGATGGAGAGTGAGGTCTTGGAGCCGGAAGTGGATGAGCAGTTCAAATGTGGAAGAGAAAACTGGTGCTGCATGTTGGCTCTAGAGGGATCATTAGGATTTAGATTCCTTTGAAGCCTTCATATCCAATATGAGCTGCCCACTTCAGCTTCTCAGCAGAAACTCCCTCTTCAGCAGTCTGACTTGTAGTGTCTTGTGATAGATGACCTTGGGCAAGTTGCTCAACCTTTGTAAGCCTCTGTTTCTTCAGTAATAGCCCCTATTTACTCATGTGGGTGGTTAGGAGGAATAATGACATAGTCTATGTGATGACCTGGGAGCACAGGGCTCAGTGAATATTGTTGCAGCCTTTTCTCCCCTTTCGCTATACCCTCTTCTTCCACCTCTGGATGCCCATAGCACTTCATCTGCCCGTAGTACAGCATCCAGCTCTGGCCTAGCACTTGGCAAGTGCTCAGTAGTCAGTAGATATTTGTTGAGTGAAGAGTTAAAAGAAGTCAGGCAGGCAAACGGAGGGAAAATAGTAAGTAGCAGACAAGTAATAAAGTAAGTTGAAACATTTTCCCACCTTTGGAAATGAACTAATAGCATCCTTTGATATGAAAGTTGAACAAACAATGATTTTGTATCTGTAAAATGTAGCTGTAGGTGATGGTCAGGGTAGGGAGCTCAGTAGGCACTTCTGATTGCTGGTTTCCTGTTTGTGATCATCTGTCAGGTCTACAGTGGACCACTTCAGTTTTCCCTTTGATATGACAGGGTGAATTTGGAAGAGAGAGAGTGTCTGTATGTAATGGCACCTGTTCCTGCCAGAGGGTCAAGTTTCAGAGAGGCTTAAAGGAATCTAAATGGCGAAAGAAAGAAAGGAAGAAAGATAGGAGAAAACAAATCTTATTAGTAATGAGAGATGCAGTAGGCAGGTAAGGGCTGTCATCACCATAATTATATACCAGGTATTAATCACTGCTATTATAGAGCACAATGCTAGTTGCTGAGATTGTGAAGTAGAATTCCAGGTTTTTGCCCTCCAGAGGCTTCCAATCTAGAAAATGGAATTGGTTAGAAGATGAAGGGGTATCAAACATTATCTGTCTGTTGAGTACTGTGACAAATGCTTAAAGGTATTTTGTAAGATATAATCATTCTCCAAGGAGAATCTAAGGTTCAGAGAGATTAAGAAACTTTCTTCAGCTCATCCATCAAACAATCTGTAGAACTGGGAGAAGGCCCAAGTCTGTCTGGCTCTAATGGCATTGTACTGTCTGTAGGCCTCTGAGTAAGAGCATCAGGGCAAGCATGTGAAAAAGAGAATTAACTTGACAAGCTATCCTAGGTTCAAGGCCATGTAAGTAATATTTGATGATTGTTGCAGGAATCCTACAAGAAAAGAGATTTATTGAGATAGAAGGAGGAACTTTACAGAGGAGGTACATCCTCAACTAGATACTGATGGCAGAATATGAATCCAATAAGAATGAAGGGAGAGGCATTTTAGGTGGAAGTAGGCATGGTATGTGCAAAGGTGGGAAGTGGGAAAATTTTCACCTTCCGGGTTTCTGTTATGCAGCACGGAGTACCAGAGAGAGCACAACCTGCTCCAAACTTACTAATAGTGCTTCCCTAGCCCAGTCACCCAATTTCCATAAACCTCGGTTTCCCTATCTGTACAATAGTTGTGATAATAGGCACTTCATAGAGTTGTTGAGACCAGAAACAATGTGTGTAATGTTATCTGCCTCTTCAAAATCCCCACTCTAAATTAAACTTCAATCAAAATCAGCTTCCCTCTCTTACAGTTTTCTGTTTTCCTTTCTACTTGCACTTGAATCAACTACATATTTGTGTGTTTATTTCTTTAATGTGTTTCCTGACTGTAAGTTCCATGAGGACAAGGAAAATATCTGTTCATCTCAAACACTATCTCTTTAATGCCTAGAACAGTACTCAATAAATCTTTGTTGAATGAATGAATACATAAATGTAGGAATGAATAAATGAATAATAAGATCTATTTCTGTGCTATGATTCTAAGAATCTTAGGGAAAATATCTCTTTTCTCTGGTAATGGGCAGGTTGCTAATGCAGGAAAAGCTTTCATAGAATGCAGTTAGAGCATTACAGGGCCTCCACAGCTTACCAGAGAAGCTCCGTGTCTCCTCTCTGTCTACTATATGGAACCATCTCTGAGCAGGAAGGAAATTACACAAACTTTCAGCTCAGCTGGTTCCAGAGTTTCACAACCCAGCTCTGTCTTGCTTACATCTGACGTGCTACTTCACTGGTGTGACCTCCAGTGTGCTTAGTGGATAATGACACTGCATAATCCCCATGCTGCCCCACAATGACCCTGAGTGATGTCTAGACTTTCCAGTAATCAAGTCTTATAATTCAATGCAATGCAATAACCTTTTATGTATTGTTGGGGAGAATAGGGAATATATAGATGCACTGATAATTACTAGGCATTTGATATATGGCCTGTGATAGAGATAAGGGCAGGAAACTAAAGGGTACAGAGGAAGCTATGTGGCCCAGCCTGATGTGAAACAATGGATGTATGGTTGGATAACATTTATATATTTTCAAAGTGTGATTATATATTTCATCCCTTAGTCTCCCTGTAGTCACGGGGAAGTATAGATAGCATTTGCATTATTTGTTCTTATTATATATAGAGAGAAATTGAGGCAAATGAGGGTGGTCCGGGACATAGATCTGGTTTCAGTGGCTGTCTTAGTCTGTTCTGTGCTGCTATAACAGAATGCCAGAGGCTGGGTAACTTATAAAGAAAAAAAATTTATTTCTCACGTTTCTAAAGGCAGGAAGTCCAATATCAAGTTGCTGGCATCTGGGGAGTGTCTTCTTCCTGTGTCATCCCATGGCAGAAGGTGAGAGGGTGAGAAAGAGGGGTTGGGAAATCAAACTTGCCCTTTTATAATGAACTAATTCCTGTGACAATGGTATTAATCCATTCATGAGGGTGAAGCCTGCATGGCCTAACCACCTCTCATTAGGCCTCACCTCCCAACACTGTTGCATTGGGGATTAAGTTTCCAATACATGCTTTCTTGGGGACACATTCAAATCGTAGCAATGGCAGATATGAACTCATGGCCGTCAGTTTAGGGATCTTCTGAACCACACTGTCATTAGCCCTTATGTTGGACAGCAGTATGAGCATGCTTGCAATTTCACAATGTCACAGAAGGTGGGGGACCTTCTATAATATGTCCTCTATGCACTTTTGTGATGGAACATCAGAATACAATAAATTAGTGATACAGAAGTGCTGGGAAGTGAAGGGTGTGTCCCTTTAAATGATAGGGAAGGGGGCAGGGACATGCGTATGTGTGCCCAAGGACCTAGGTGAGGACAGGCATAATTTTGTTTTCCTGCCCAAATATTGCATTTCCCAAGACAACCCTGGCCTGCCACACCCCCATCCTGTGCTATAAAAACCATGAGACCCTAGCAGGTAGACAAACAGGCGGCTGGACGTCGAGAGGAGCACATCAGCGGAGGAACACGCGGGCAGCTGGACGTTGAGAGAACACACTTACGCCAGCAGGCCACCAACTGGCAGAATGACATGGAGTTTGGCTGGGGCAGTGGGAGGAGAGCCTGGGCCGCCAAGCGGCCCGACACCAGGGGAAAACCATCTCCCTTTTGGCTCCTCCACCTGCTGAGAGCTACTTTCACTCCATAAAACCTTGCAATCATTCTCCAAGCCCACGTGTGATCCAATTCTTCTGCTACACCAAGGCAAGAACCCCGAGATACAGAAAGCCCTCTGTCCTTGCAATAAGGCAGGGGTTTAATTGAGCTGGCTAACACAAGCCACCCACGGACGGCTAAACTAAAAGAGCACCCTGCTACATGTGCCCACTGGGGCTTTGGCTGTAAACAGTCACCCCTAGACACTGCCGTGGGGTCAGATCTCCACAGCCTACCTGTCTGTATGCTTCCCTAGAGGTTTGTGCAGTGGGGACTGAAGAAGTGAGTCACACCCACATCGCACGCCCTGTGAAGGGGACAAGGGAACTTTTCCCATTTCATTAGGGGTTGGCAAACTAAGGCTCATGGGCCACATTGTCCATTGCCTGCTTGTGTAAGTAAAGTTTTATTGAAACATAGTCATACCTACTCATTTACTATTGTCTATGGCTGCTTTTACATTACAAAGTTGAGTAGTTGCAACAGAGACTGTATTGCTCACAAAGTCTAAAATATTTACTATCGGTCCTTTACAGAAAAAGTGTCACTCCCTGGAATAAATGAATCAAATGGAAGTAAATGGAAAAAAAAAAAAGGATTCATTCATTCGTAATAGGCAGTGTATCATAACTGAAAAAGATAGTGAAAATTGGTTTCAGACAAACCCAGGTAAGAATCTCACCTTCGCCACTTGGCTGGAAAACTCTGAACAAATTATTTTTACTCTTTGGGCCTGTTTCTGCATCTATCACCTTATAAGGTTGCTGTCTGAGAATTCTACTATACAATGTAATGTATCTGTTAGAGTGTAATATATCTGTTATTAGGTTTGACCTCATACAATAGAAACACAAAATAAAAGTGTCTTACACAGGACAGCAGTTTTTTTCTTTCATGTGGAGGTCTGGAGGGCAGTGGGTATTGATTGGTTCAGTGCCTCCTGCATTAGGAATCCACGCTTCTTTCACTTTGTTGCTTTGCTGTGTGTGGGTTTCATTCCTGAGGTCCTTTCATGGTTCAACACGGCTGCTGGAGCAAATAAAAAATCAAATACACAAAAGCCCAGAGAAAGAGCCATCCACAGAGGCCAGGCAACAAATCCACTTATTCAAGTCTAGCCAAGATGAGACCCCCTTGCCACAGTGCATGAAACCAGCATATTCCACTTATTCCATTCTTGGGGTACGTTGAAACAGATCTGGAAGCAATGTCTTCTGTGTATTAAGCATCTAACACTTTACAAAGCATTTTCATATGTCTTACCACATTTGTTCTTCATAATGTTCTGAAAAGGTAAGATGAATACATCTTATTATTCCTATTGAACACTTGATTCACACAGCTGCTAAGTAACAGATTCCAACGAGTCTATAGCTAGGTCTTTGGGTATGTTGCTGGTAATGAAAAGGTGAACAATCATGGTGCAGAAGAAAGAAAATGAGCCAAACCAGGATCCCTGGTAGAGTTGTAGTGCAAAGACTGGGGTTAATTGTGTGGCCTCAGCCTCACTGGGCTGTTCTCCTCACCTGTAAGACCAAGATAAGAGCACTTATTTACTTCGGGGTTGTTGTGAAGATAGCAGACAATCTTAGTGCACCTGCCACTTAAGATCCGTTCAGTGAAATTATTACCTTTCACAGGTGTGTCTTTGGAAAATCACTTCCCTTTCCTGGATCTCAGTTTTCTTTTCTAGGAAAACAACATGTTTGGACTCAGCGACTGCTAAACTGTCTCCCAAACCTCGAACTCCCTCAGCCTGGGATCCTGCCTTTTATGAAAATAGTTCGGATTGGAGCTCAGGTTGGAATTCTCGCTTTAGTTGCTTGCTAGCTGTGTGTCCCAGTAAAAGCTAAAAATTTCGGATTCCCCACATCTGTAGAATAGGGATACATAACATGCAGCTTATTAGAAAGGGAAGGCATGTGAGAATTAAATTAGGTCCGTGTCCAGTACCCACTAAATTGTAAAAACTTCTCAAAGGCAGGGACCCATCTGTTTTGTAGATTTACAGAATGTCATACGTTGAAGTACGGGGGTTCGCCACGGGATTAGAAAATTTCTGTAGAGTAAGGAACAAGACACAAGGTAAGCATTCAAGAATTGTAACCATGCAATATTCTTATTTCTTACAGTCGCCTACAACAGTCCTGGTGTTTAGTAAACGGTCTGACACACACACCCATCAGGGGCTGCGGAGAGTCCGCCTGGGTAAGCTCCGCAAGGTGAGTCCCCAGAGCCGGGAACTCGCAGCCTGAGCAGACGCAGCGTAGCCGATCTTGGGTCCGCGCTCCTCCCGCCTTGCCCAGCCCTGCCCGCGGTTGGCTAGGCCCCAGGGAACGCTGCAGCCGCGGGGTGGGCAGGCGACGGCCAATCCCACGCCCGGTTCAAAGGGCCAATCAGGCCGCGCTTTACAGGGGCCGCGCTTTACAGGGGCCGCGCTTTACAGGGGCCGCGCTTTACAGGGGCCGCGCTTTACAGGGGCCGCGCTTTACAGGGGCCGCGCTTTACAGGGGCCGCGCTTTACAGGGGCCGCGCCGGCGGGGGCGGGATCGCGCGCAAGGCGGGGCTGTAGCCGCCCCGGGACCGCCCTGCTCAGGCGCCGTGGGGTTCGGCGCGGCTACGTGCAGAATCCGTCTAGCTAAAATGTAATTTCAGATTGGACAAGTACTGTAAGTGACCCTCCTCTCAGTCCCACGTGGGCGCTGGGGGCTTTTGCTGGTGCGCAGGCTCTTAGCGCGCACGCCCAGAAAGAGGCTTCTCCAACCCGGCCCGGCCCTTCCTTCCCCTTTCCCGCAGTCGTTGCCTCCTCCTCCCCTGCCTCCTCCTCCCCTTCCTCCTCCTGGCCGCTTAGTCTCACACCCGCCGGGCCGTTGTTCCCGAGACGTTGTTGAGTCCCCTGTGTCCTCTTCTGGGTGAGGCGTCCGGCCACTTAAGGGAAGGGAAGGGAAGGGTCGGCCTTGACTGCATCCCCAAGGCTGCCTATTAGGTGTCTGGAACCCGTGCTGCTTCCTCTCCGATCAGTGCCCACTTATCTGTATTCAGTACTCTTTCTCTCCTCCCCTTACCCTTGTAGGACATTTTCCTGGCATTTGAGGAGCCTTTAATTCACGTCTGGCTACCGAAGGCATTTTTAGGCTAGTGTTGCTTGTAGATTTAAACGCTTCCAGCACTTGTGATAATGTTTGAGGCACAGCTGAGTTTAGATGAGATAATGCTGTTTGGTTACAGTTATCCTGAGTAGAAAGGCCTAGGGATATCTTTTCATTTTTAGCCGTTTCCTTTTTATTTAAAGATTGACAAGGGGCCGGGCGCGGTGGCTCACGCCTGTAATCCCAGCACTTTGGGAGGCCAAGGCGGGTGGATCACGAGGTCAGGAGATCGAGACCATCCAGGCTAACACGGTGAAACCCCCGTCTCTACTAAAAATACAAAAAATTAGCCGGGCGTGGTGGCGGGCGCCTGCAGTCCCAGCTTCTCGGGAGGCTGAGGCAGGAGAATAGCGTGAACCCAGGAGGCGGAGCTTGCAGTGAGCTGAGATCGTGCCACTGCACTCCAGCCTGGGGGACAGAGCGTCTCAGAAAAAAAAAAAAAAAATTGACAAGGTGCAAAATGGTGAATTTCCCTCATCATGGGCTGTTTTCCACTAAAGCACTTCTGTGTCTTAACACAAATTTCTTCCCCGAAGAGTCAGTCATGACATGACCAAAGTCTGAAAAGCAGTTAATCCTTAGGTTAAATTTTAAAGTATGAGACCAGGAGGGGTGAGGTGCTTATTCTTTTGACTTGTAAATCAGAATGAAAGAAGGGAAAGTCTTTTATTTTGTGGCTGTTATTTAAATGGTAGAGTTTTGCTTTGTATAGTTTTTGCTTGCTTTTCCTCTTTTTTTTCTATGATCCACCACGTGTATGTCCTGATTTTTTTCCTTTTTAACTTGCTTGCTGGATTTTCCAGCCAGATGACTGCCGCTTGGTCTTCTGGGAGTCTCCTGTTAATGGGGCCCTCATGCTTGGCTCTTGACCTGATGGCCACTGGCCTGGCTCTTGGAGGACCTCCTAGTGGGAGGCCCAGAGCACTGTTATTAAGGATGATTGGGGGAACAGATCAGAGGGGGTCAGCTGGGCCTGGAGATCAATTTTGAGGGGGAGGGAGGTTGGGAGCCTGCCTGGCTGGATTTGGAAGTCAAAACATGTGTGCTGGGAGAAGGGCATAACCCCAGAGGGTGGAGAGCCATGTCTTTCTGGATAAAATTAATAAGTTTACTGGGAGGAGGCTGGGCCTTCCAGGCTGTGTTAGTTTTTGTTGTGGGCCTTGGCTTTTCCTGGAATTTGGTTCCCTTTCCCTAACCTTTCACTTATTAGTTTAAATAGTTCCCTTTACCTAACCTTTCACTTATTGATTTAAATAGTTTAAATCACAGTCAATTACCAGCTGGTTTTTAAAATAATTTGAGGTAATGAATCTTGCCCTTAATCTCCTAGCCAGAGTGGAACCCCCTACCTCCACCCCCAGGGGGATTTGAAATGATTATTTTACCAGAACGTGCTACAGAGATCACTTACCTTCTCACCCGCCCACCTTTTTATAATGGAGGGACATAGAATCAACCCAGGTGGTGTCAGAGATCATCCAAATCAGTTCTTCATGTATTCATTTGTTCACTCATCTTGTCCACATACTTTGGGCCCAGAACTGTGGTAGTCTCTGGGAAAGTGCAGATGAGTAAGACTTGGTCTCTGCTTTCAAGCTTTCATCCAGTTTGCTTCAATCCACTTTGATGAGGGAGATTATGTGATAGTGAGATGAGTACATTGAAAAGGTATGCCGAAGACTCCCAGGAGTTGAGAGAAGGGCAAATGGCTCAACATGGGGAAGCCATTTGGGGAGGACTTCCCAGAAGGGAATACTGGAGCCGAGTTCCAAAGCCTAAGTATGAGTGGGCTGGAGAAAGAGCGAGGGATTATATGAACCGGGAACAGCATGTGCAGAACTACACAAGCATGGCACATGGTTGATTAGGATGGCTGTGCAGGAAAGGATAAGTTGGAAAAAATCACCTGACAGGAGGCTGGGGAGGGTGAAGGCCAGGTCAGGAAGGGTCTGGTGAATCATCTTAGGGGAGTTTGAAATATATCTCCAGGGCAAACAGTGATACATACTCTCAGGTTTATGTTATAGAAAATTAATTCTGGCTGCAGTTTGGAGAATGAATTGGATTGGCGAAGCCCGGAGAGAGGTAATTGTAGTAATATAGGTGAGAGACGTGTTAGGGTAATAGTTATGGGAGTGGAGAGAGATTAGGAAAATAGAATGGTTAGGAATGTTATAAAGGTTCAGTGCCACAAAAGAAATAGCACTTGAATATCAAATTTTCTTTTTTCTTCTCAGCAAGGCCATTTACTTCTATAGAAGGGTGCGCCCTCACAGATGGAGCAATGGTGAGCGCACACCTGGACAAGGGTGGGGGGGCGGGTCTTATGCCTGACGCACGTGGCCCCTGTTGCTGTGTCGTTCCCCTATTGGCTAGGGTTAGACTGCACAGGCTAAACTAATTCCAATTGGCTAATTTAAAGAGAGTGACGATGTGAGTGGTTTGGCGGGAAAAATGGTTATGGCAGAGCAGGAAATCGGAATGAGTCAGGGTGGAGAATGAGCAGGTAATCGGAATGAGTCAGTGAGTCTGGGTGGAGCAGGTGATCGAAAAAGCTTGCTTTATGAGGACGTTAAATTTAAAAGTAGAAAAGAATTGAACATACTGACATATTGATTCTTTGAAGAGAAATTTAGAGCTCATATCTAATGGAAATTAATTACTGACTGAATGTAGGGATAAGAAGGAATGTAGTCATCAGTAGGTGTTCTTGAGTGGGCTATTTTGTAGCAGCTTTAGTGAGGAATAACTGACATCCAGTAAACTACGTATTGAGAGTGTCTAATTGGAGAAGTTTTGTTATATGCATATATCTATGAAAACCATCATGACCATCAAAAGAACATACCTAATAACCCCAAAGATTGCTTGTGCCCTTTTTAATTCCTCTTTGTATACCCCCTAAGGTAAAGTATGTATTCAATCTTTCGTCCATTTTAAAAAATGAGCCTTTTATTTTCTTTTTATTGAGCTTTGAGAATTCTTTATTCTTATCATAAGTTCTTTATCACGTGTAACTTGCAGATATTTTCTTATTTTGATGCTTGTCTCAACAGTGTCTTTTGAAAGCAGAGTTCTTAATTTTGATGAAGTCTAATTTATAATTTGGTTAAATAAATGTTACCAATCTGAATTATAATGGATCATGCTTTTTGTGTTTTATCTAAGATATCTTTGCTTAACCTAAGGTCTCAAATATTCTTCCTATTTTTAAAAGAAGTTTTGTCATTTTTGGTTTTATATTAAATCTGTGATCATTTTAAGGTAATTTTTGTATAGGACATGAAATATGGAATCAAGTTTTTTTTTTGCATATGGCTATCCAGTTCCAGCACTGTTTGCTGAAAAGCCTATCTTCATTGAATTGCCTTTGCACCTTTGTTCAAAAATCAATTTACCATGTATACATTGGCCCAATTTTGTGTTTTATTTTGTTCAGTTGATCTCTTGTCTATTTTAATGCGAACACCACATAGTCTTATAAATACAGCTTTGTAATAAGTACTGAAATCAGGTAGTATAAGTCCTTTAATTTTGTTCTTTTTAAAATTTGTTTTGATTATTCTAGGTTCTATTTCCATATGAATTTTATAATCACTTTGTCCATTTCAAAATAAGGCCTATTTAGATTTTAACTGGAATTGTATTGAATGTATACATTAATTTGGGGGGAGAATTGACATTTGAAATACCAAGTCTTCTGACCCGTGGACACAGTATATCTGTTCATTTATTTAAGTCTTCCTTATTTCTCTAGGCAATGTTTTGTAGCTCTCAATATGTAGGTCTTACACATCTTTGTTGGATTATCTGTAGGTATTTCCTATTTTTTGATGATATTGTAAATGATATTAAAATTTTATGTATTTTAAAAATTTATTTTCCAGTTGTTTTCTTGTTACTGGTATATTGATTGTGTATCCTGAAATCTTGCTCATGTGCTTATTATTTCTAAGAGCATTTTTGTAGATGCCATCAGATTTTCTATTTAGGTGATCCTGTCATCTGTAAATAAAGATAGTTTTACTTCCTTTCCGATGAGATTGCCTTTTATTTTTCTTGCTGTATTCCACTAGCCAGAACCATTGCTTTGCATAGAACTGATGAGAGCTGACATCTTGCCTTCTTCCTGATCTGAGGGAGATGCATTCATTTTTTCATTATTAAGTATGATGCATGATGCTAGTTGTATATCTTTTGTAGATATGCTTTATTAGGTTTAGGAAGTTTCATTGTATTCCTACTTTACTGAGAATTTTTTTAAAGGAATAATGGAAGTTGTAATTTTGTTGTTTTTCCTATAACTGTTGTGATCATTCTTTTTTTTTTTTTTTTTTTTTTTTGAGATGGAGTTTCGCTCTTGTTGCCCAGGCTGGAGTGAAGTGGCGTGATCTCGGCTCACTGCAACCTCCACCTCCCAGGTTCAAGCGATTCTCCTGCCTCAGCTTCCCGAGCAGCTGGGATTACAGGCACGCACCACCACACCCAGCTGATTTTGTATTTTTCTTTCTTTCTTTTTTTTTTTTTTAAGTAGAGATGGGGTTTCTCCATGTTGGTCAGGCTGGTCTTGATCTCCTGACCTTAGGTGATCTGCCCTCCTTGGCCTCCCAAAGTGTTGGGATTACAGGCGTGAGCCACTGCGCCCAGCTGATCATTTATATTTTTAAAAAAGATTCTTAATGTGGTGAATTACATTTATTGGTTTTTTTTTCCAATGTTAAATCTTGTGTTCCTGAGATAAACCCTATTGGTCAGGGCATATTATCCTTTTTTTATATTGCTGAATTTTATTAGCTGAAGTTTGAAGAATTTTTGTATCCATCCTTATGATGGATATTGATCTATAGTTTTCTTGTATCAGCTAAATACCTGACCTCTCGGTAAATCTGGCCTCGTAGAATGAATTAGGAAGTATTTCTTCCATTTTGATTTTTTCTGGAAGAGATTATGTAGAATTGGTATTTTTGTTTCTTAAATGTTATTGCAGCACTATTCACAATAGCAAAGACATGGAATCAGTCTAAATGCCGGTCAATGGTAGATTGGATAAAGAAAATGTGGTACATATGCACCATGGAATACTATGCAGCCATAAAAAAGAACATGATCATGTCCTTTACAGCAGCATGGATGGAGCAAGCTGGAGAACATTATCCTGAGCCAGCTAACACAGAAACAGAAAACCAAAAATACTGCATGTTCTCACTTATAAGTGAGAGCTAAACAATGAGAACAAATGGACACAAAGAGGGGAACAACAGACACTGAGATCTACTTGAGGGTTAGATCTACTTGAGGGGGTAGGAGGAAAGAGGATTAGAAAAAAAAATAATTTATTAATATAAAAAATGCAAACCTAAAGTATTTAAATAAAATTGAACTTTATTCAGTTTGTTGAAAGTTTAATTGAATCTTATTAAATAAGTTTTAAAAAATAAAGCCATTCACAATTCCAAAAAAAACCCCAAAAAACCCTGTTTAGTAGGATTCACTAGTGAAGCCATCAGGGCCTGGAGTTGTTGTTTTGGGGGCAGGAGGTTAAATACAAAGTCGTTTGATTACATAGATATAGGATTGTTCAGGTTATCTATTTCCTTTTTCCCCCAGCTTTATTGAGGTATGACTGATGAGTAAAAATTGTACATGCTCAAGGTGTGCAACGCAATTTGATATACATTGTGAAATGATTACCACAATCAAGCTAATTATATCCATCACCTCATGTACTCTTTCTTGGTGTGGTGAGAACACTTAAGATTTACTCTCTTAGCACATTTTAAGTATACAGTAAATTATCAACTGTAATCACTATGTTGTACATTAGATCTCCAGAATTTTTCTAATAACTGAAAGTTTGTATTCTTTGGCCAACATTTCCCCATTTCCTCAATCCCTGGTAACCACCATTCTCCTCTCTGCTTTAATGAGTTGGACTTTTTTAGATTCTTCATATAAGGAATATCATGCAGTGTTTGTCTTTCTGTTTTTGGCTTATTTCAATAGGATGTTGTACTCTTAAGTTCATCCGTATTGTGGCAAATGGCAGGAATCTTTAAGACTGAATAATATTCCATTGTGTATATATGTATGACATTTTCATTATCCATTCACCCATCTGTGGACATTAAGGTTGTTTTCATATCTTAGTTATTGTGAGTAATGCTGCAATGAACATGGGAGTACAGCTATTACACCAAGTAGTGATTTCATTTCTTTTGGATATATATCCAGAAGTAAGATTACTATATCATATGGTAGTTCTATTTTTATTATTTTGAGGAACTTCTGTACTGTTTGCCATAATGCTGTACCAATTTACATTCCTACCAACAGTGTACAATGGTTCCCTTTTCTCCATATTCTCATCAATACTTATTCTTTGACTTTTGATAATAGCTATCCTAATAGGTATGAAGTGATTTCTCATTGTGCTTTTGATTTACACTTTGCTGATGATTAGTCATGGGTGAGCACGTTTTCATATACCTATTAGGCATTTGTATGTCATCTTTGGGAAAATGTCTATTCGAGTTCTTTGCCCATTAAAAAAAATTAAGTTACTTGAGTTGTATACATTTTTAAAAATATATTTTGGATTTTAAGCCCTTATTGGGATATATGATTTGTAAATATTTTCTCTTTTAGAGGTTGCTTTTTCATTTTCTCGATTGTTTCCTTTGCTGTGCAGAAACTTTGATGTAGCCTCACTTGTTTATTTTTGCTTTTATTGCTCATGCTTTTGATGTCATATCCAAAAAATCATAGCCAAGACCAATGTCGAGGAGTTTTTTGTCGTTTTCTTCTAGGAGTTTTAATGTTGCAGGTCTTATGTTTACAACTGTAATCCATTTTGAGTTGATTTTTGTGTATAGTATAAGGGTTCAATTTCATTCTTTCGCATGTGACTATCCAGTTTTTCCAACACCATTTATTCAAGAGACTTCCTTTTCCCCATTGTGTTTTTGTTGCTTTTGTCAAAGGGTAGTTGATTGTATATGAGTAGTTTATTTCTGGGTTTTCTATTGGTTCCATTAGTGTATATGTCTCTTTTTATTCCAGCACCATATTGTTATGATTATTATAGCTTTGTAATATAATTTGAAATTGGGAAGTGTGATGTCTCCAGCTTTGTTCTTTCCCAAGATTGCTTTAGCTATTTGGAGTTTTTTGTGGTTCCATATGAATTTTAGGATTGTTTTTCTCTATTTTTTTTTTAAATGCCATTGGTATTTTGATAGAAATTACTTTGAATCTGCAGATCACTTTGAGTAGTATGGTTATTTTAGCAATATTATTTCTACCAGTCTGTGAACATGGATATGTTTCCATTTATTTGTGTCTTCTTCAGTTTCTTTCATCATAGGTTTATAGTTTTCAATATACAAATCTTTCACCTCCTTGGTAAATTTTTTCCTAAGTACTTTTTCCTTTTTGATGCCCTTCTAAGTGAGATTGTTAATTTCTTTTTGGGGTAGTTCATTGTTAGTGAATAGAAATGCGGCTGCTTTTTGTTATGTTGATTTTTTATTCTACAGCTTTATTGATTTAATTTATTAGTTCTAACAGTTTTTTGGAGTCTTTGGGTGGTTTTCTATATATAATATCATGTCATCTGTAAACAGACAATGTTATCCCTTCCTTTCCAATCTGGATGCCTTTCATTTAGTTTTCTTTTGTAATTGCTCTAGCTAGGACTTCCAATACTGTGCTGAATAGTAGTGGTAAGAGTGGGCATTCTCTCTTGTTCCTGATCTTAAAGGAAAAGCTTTCGGCTTTTTGATGTTGAGTATCATATTGGCTTTGGGCTTGTCATATATAGTCTGTATAATGTTGAGGTGGATTCCTTCTATATCTAATTTGTGATAGTTTTTATTGTGAAAGTATGTTGAATTTTGTCAAATGCTTTTGCAGAATCTATTGAGATGATAGTATTTTTATCCTTTGTTCTGTGAATGTAGTGTATCACATTTATTGATTTGCATATGTTGAACCATCCTTGCATTACAAGGATAGTTACTTACTTGATCATGGTGAATGATCTTCTTAATGTGCTGTTGAATTTGGTTTGCTAGTATTTTATTGGGGATTTTTGCATCTGTGTTCATTGTGGATATTGGCCTGTAATTATCTTTTCTCATAATGTCCTTGTCTAGCTTTAGTTTAAGGGTAATGGTAATGCTGGCCTCATAAAATGAGTGTGGAAGTATTCCTTCCTCTTTAATTTTTTATAAGAGTTCAAGAAGAATTTTATTAATTGTTTAAATGCTTGGTAGAATTTATACTCTACCCAATTCCCTCTGAGTTATGAGGCTTTCTACTCTGGCTGTTATGAATAGAACTATTCCTGGCCTTATGTGAAGCCCACTGATTTGTTCTCTCTAATCCTTTTTGGTGCTTCTGCCTCAGATTGTTTTCACATATAGATGCATTAGTACGGATGATTAGTACTCTCCTGAATACTTGGGGAGTACCTTTGCAATTCTCTGGCATTCTTCTTCTGTGCAGCTCTCTCCTCTCTTGCCCAAGATTCTAGCCTTTTTGTTCTCCACAGACTTTCAGCTCTGTCTCCTCAACTCAGGGAGACTGCTGGGCTTGGCCTGTGTTCATCCTTTTTGTGCCACAATCTGCAGACATATCCCAGGGATTAAACTTGAGCCATTGAAGGACTTATCTCATTTTTTCCCATCTCTGTGTGATTACTCTGTTGCCTGATGTCCAATGTCATGAGAATCTTTGTTTTCTATTTTTTTCCCCATTGTTTTAAGCAGGGAGGTAAATATGGTTCCTGTCACTACATCTTGGCTGGAATTGGAAGCATTCAACTAGAATTTTTGAGGAAAATATAAATAAGGGACTATCTAAAGATGTGAGGAGGGGATTTTTGAGGTACTCAGATACCAATAATAAAGGGGAACTTTTACCACTTCAAGGTGCTAAGAGCATGGTGAAGGAAGTATATCAGAGGGAAAAACATAAGCTATAACTAAATTAGGATAATTTTCAATAAAAGAACTATTGAGTAAGTGAGGGCAGCCTGAATGCCTGGGTCTAGTAACAGTAAGACTGTTACATCCTTAGACCCAAAGGGGTGAGGGAAGGACTGGTTACCAGAACCCAAAAGGAGAAATCGTGTGGAGAAGCCTGCCTGGAGAGGATCTGTTATTTTAGCCCAAGAGAAGCAGCTGGCCCAGGCCAACTCTACAGGAAAAGAGGCCTGACCTTACTCTTCTCCTTCCTTTGAGGCTTCAGCTAGAGCTCTCCATTGCTCAAACCCAACTAGAAGACAGAGGATTAGAGAGTCTTGGAGATCCAGATTATTGTCCCCAGGACAGATAGCAGGGAGGGAAGGTAGAGAATGGATATGTAGTTGGGGAAGAATATACAGTGACATATGTATAGAGTGCACTTAGGAAGGATAGGAAAATCAAATAAAAATTGTTCAGGCTAAATATATTACCAGTCCCTTAACCATCTAGATTTGGGGCTGAGCTACACTGAAATCCATTGCAGATTATGCTGAGAGCTGAATAGCTTGGATTCTGCTAAACAGGCTATGGGAGAGAGATTAAGAAAGGACTCGGTTGCTGACTGGATATTGCAAGATGAAAATTGAGAAGAAGACAAAGTCTATAAAATGAAGAATGAGGCCAAGCACGGTGGCTCATGTCTGTAATCTCAGAACTTTGGGAGGCCGAGGTGGGAGGATAGCTTGAGCCCAGGAATTCGAGACCAGCCTGGCCAACATGGCAAAACACCATCTCTATAAAAAATCTAAAATTATTGTGTCATGATGGTGCATGCCTGTAGTCCCAGCTACTCGTGAGGCTGTTATGGGAGAATGGCTTGAGCCCAGGAGGTCGAGGCCACAATGAGCTATAATTGCATCACTACACTCCAGCCTGGGTGATAGAGTGAGACCCTGTCTCAAAAAAAAAAAAAAAAAAAAAAAAATCGAGTGATTTAGACAGATCAAACTCAATCTAGTTAACCAAATATTGGGATTGTAGAATTATGTGGCAGCTTTGACATTTGAATAAGGCTATTGTTAGGATCTTTAAAAAATTGTCATGTGACATAGTAGAAAGAACATAGGATTGAAATCCTTCTCTGTTATTCACTGACTCTATGACCCTGACAGGTGACCTAACTGCTCAGAACCTTGGTTTCCCATCTAAAAGTTGCAGAAAAGATTAGCAAGGCCATCTGGTAAGTCACTGGCACCACATCTTGCACAGAGTAAATGTTCATAAGAAATTTATTGATGTAAGATGAGGGTTGGCTCAAAATATAAGTAAGTCTAAAAAGCATTTGGATTCATGTGAAGCTACATATTGATAAAACACAGATAACACTAATTCTAGTGAACCCTTAAGGGAAGAATAGTGTATTTGACAAGGATTACCTCAAAATTCCCCTCAAAGACAGTTTGTGAAGAAGCCCCAGCTCCCTTTCCCTTCTCCCTTAAAAAGCAGATTATTTTTTATGTTAGTTAGAACAAACTATAGATAGTTTGTTCCTATCAAGAACAACTTATCCTTGTCAGAGATTGGATGCTGGGCTGGATGGGCCAGTGATGTGTCCCAGCATGTGTTGCATCCAGGGGGTCTCCAGGAAGGGAGAGGGAAAAGGAAGACTTCCTGTGTGCTTACCGTGTGCAGCTAGCCCAGCTTACCTCATCTCCATGCAGTGTCATGTAGAAACATGGGTGACTGAAGATCATTCTAGTTAAGTATGGTCAGTGCCTCTTAATGCTGCTGCTTCTCTTTTTATTTTAGAAAACCATGTCATGGAGGAAAATTACAGGAACTTAAAATGTATAGCATGGAGAAAAGAAGACCCAACAGGAGGTCATGAGAGTCATCTTAAAACATTTGAAAGGGTAGCCCATGTATAAGGGTAAAAAAGGCTGTTTGGATGATCCTTTGGGATAAAAATTAGGACTAGAGGGTAGGAGCTATACTAAGCACAGTTCAACTCAATACAGAGAAGGTCTTCCTTCCTATTACTGTAATAGCTGCTCATTGAGAACATTCAGACAGCACAGAGAGGGACAGGTAAATGGCCTCCAAACCTCCACTATATTTCTTTTTGCTGGATGTCATTGCAGTAAGCAGGTTTTGTGTGTGTTTCCTGAAATCTTTTATGATAGGTCTTTATACAATACAGTGGTTCTCAAACTCTAGCATCCATCGGAATCACCTGGAGGCCTTTTTAAAGCACAGACTGCTGAACCCCACCCCAGTGTTTCTGAGTCACTGGAGCTGGAAGGGGGCCTGACTTTGAATTTCTACCAAGTTCCCTGGTGATACTAATGCTGCTGCTCTTCTAGAGACCACGAATGGCCCTGTTAAAATTTGAGAAAATAAAAGTTTGAGAACCACTGTATTGCATGAAGAAAATAGAGCTTTTGCTCTATTCTTTATTAAAAAATAATACAAATGGCATCATACTGTATCATCCAAGAACTTGCTTTTTTAGTTAATAATATATAATTAGCAGCTTTCTTTTTTTCTCATTCAACAGCTACTGATGTATCAATTTTAGAAGTCCCCTATTAATAATCATTTAATTTGCTTCTAGAGTGTTTGTGGATATGTTCTTGCCTTTACAAAAAAAGGTTGTGGTGGATTTTTTTTGTATCTTTTTGATGAGTCAGTGCATAAATTCTTAGAAGATAAATTCTTAGAAGTTAAACTGTTGGGTAAAAGACTTGATTTTAAAAATGGATAGATAGTACTAAATTATTCTATCAAAGATAGAATCACTTTTCTATGAAAAGTGTATGAAACAGCCTGTTTCCCACACTTTTGCCAAGTGGGTATTATCAAAATTTTCCAGTTCCTGTTTGTTAGGTGTAAAATTATATCTTAGTGTTGTTTTGATTTATATTCCTACACTATTTGTCAGTTGAAAGATTCCTATGTATTTATTTTTCTATGAACTATAAGTTTGTATTCTTTGCATTACAGGTAGAGGGAACAGTATGAACAAAAGCACCAAGCCTTCCTTTGAATAGTTTCTAGTAGTTTTGTAGCATTGAAGTACGAAGGTTGAGGTTAGGGAGAGAGGCAGGGAGCTAAGGTTAGAAAGTCAGGCAGGGGCCTGAGCTTAGAGGTCCTTTTGGGTCAAATAAAGATATTGGGCTTTATTTTGGGCAGAAGAAGCATTGGTGCTGTTTAAGCTTGTACTTTGGTTCGTGGTACTTTTGACAGAGCCATGTTTGTGGAATGGTCAAGTCTAATGTTTAATCTTCAAATAATTCATTCTTTAGTCCTTTCACCTTCGGCCTTAAAGCTACCAGACCAGGGCCAAGCGTGGTGGCTCTTGCCTGTAATCCCAGCACTTTGGGAGGCCAAGGTGGGCAGATCACTTAAGGCCAGGAATTCGAGACCATTCTGAGCAACATGGCAAAACCCTGTCTCTACTAAAAATACAAAAACAAATTAGCTGGGTGTGGTGGTGTGTGCCTCTAATCCCAGCTACTTGGGAGTCTGAGGCAAGAGAATTGCTTGAAACCCAAGAGGCAGAGGCTGCGGTGAGTGGAGATTGCACTACTGCACTCCAGCATGGGTGACAGAGTGAGGAAAAAAAAAAAAAAAAGCTACCAGACCAGGCTTCATAAACTGGTAAACATAAGAATGGGCCAAAGACTTCAACCCATCTGTGACTTGGCATTGTCTCTGAGGGGGGAAATTTTGCATGATCGCATGGAGAATGGATTTTGTTGCTTTATCTGATATTGTCCTCAGCTCCTCCTGAATTTGCCGAGATCTTACAGCAGTCAGTAAGGTTGGTGAGTTCTTTCGTTGTTTTAATTTGAGTGACTTTCTGGGAAAAACTGTGGATTTCGGCCAATATGCTGATGATAATAGCATTGCTTTGAAGGTCTTGTTCTGTAGAAAATCATTTCATAGTTAATTATGTCAGCAAATCAACAGCAACCTCTTGAAGAAGAAAGCAGTGAGGGGAGAAACTGTGTATATGTTTAAATTATTCAGAACTCAAAGAGAGGTCAGGAATTCACATTTCAAAAGGAGGAGTCTATGTAAGAACAAATCATTAAATTTGCATATCTTTTCCCCATTATGGGCCTAGTTTTGTAATTGGCATATTAGGGATTAAAATGAAATAACCCTGCATTTAGAATTAGGAAATGACTCCCCCTGTCCCCCGACTATCTCCCTTTCTGTCTCCAGGGTCCTGGCACAGGAGTAAGAAACTATCACATTTAAATGTCTGCATTTAGAGAACTCAGGGTGTCCGTTGGGTTTGTAGAAGATGGACTGACTCTGTTGATTCACTTGTCGGGTGGACCCTTTCTCCATCGTCCTTCTCTCCTCAGTGTGTGTTCCTATTTAAATGGAGCCCCCTGCTTGGGAGGGAGACTGCTCCAAAGAGGAGCATGGTGCTTCAGCCACAAGCCACATAGAAGGCTTGCTCATAATGCTGCTAGAACTCTGCAGAGGAAGAAAGTTTTTTAGGGTCTTTTTATTTTAAGAGATATTTGACTATTTTATATATTAATAATCCTCTCCTCCTTCACAACCCAGTAATTCCCCTTATTACTACATTACAATACATTGTGCTCATACAAGGAAGGTAGGGAGCAGAGCATTTTCAGTTAATATCTAATGTTTCCCACAGTAGGATTTATCGTGACATCAGGTAGTCTGTATTAACTGGATCATGGAGAAGGCATTTCTAATGATCATCTGAAAAGGCTTCACAGGATTAACAGATTTGAAACTTCATTCTCTGTGTGCCCAGGACACAGGCAGCTTGGTTAGTGTGGAAAGCCAAGTCATTTCAGGGATGGTAGAAAGAGTTCAGCTCTGGCTGATAACAAACCTGAAATTTTTTTTTTTTTTAAAGATTCTTTTTTTTCAATATTTTACTGTAAGTTCCAGGATACATGTGTAGAACCTGCAGGTTTGTTACATAGGTATACGTGTGCCATGGTGATTTACTGCACCTATTGACTGGTCCTCTAAGTTCCCTCCCCTCGTCCCCCCACCCCACAACAGGCCCTAGTGTGTGTTGTTCCCTTCCCTGTGTCCATGTGATCTCATTGTTCAGCTCCCACTTATGAGTGAGAACATGCGGTGTTTGGTTTTCTGTTCCTGTGTTAGTTTGCTGAGGTTGTTGGCTTCCAGCTTCATTCATATCCCTGTGAAGGACATGATCTCATTCCTTTTTATGGCTGTGTAGTATTCTATGGTATATATGTACCACATTTTCTTTATCCAGTCTATCATTGATAAGTATTTGGGTTGGTTCTATGACTTTGCTATTGTAAACAGTGCTGCAATAAACATATGTGTGCATGTGTCTTTACAGTAGAGTGATTTATATTCCTTTGGGTATATACCCAGTAATGGGATTGCTGGGTCAAGTGGTATTTCTGGTTCTAGATCCTTGAGGAATCGCCATACTGCCTTCTACTCTTCCACAATGGTTGAACTAATTTGCATTCCCACTAACAGTGTAAAAGCATTCCTGTTTCTACATAGCCTTGCCAGCATCTATTGTTTCTTGACTTTTTAATAATCGCCATTCTGACTGGCATGAGATAGTATCTCGTTTTGGTTTTGATTTGCATTTCTCTAATGATCAGTGATGTTGAGCTTTTTAAAATATATTTGTTGGCTGCGTAAATGGTCTTCTTTTGAGAAGTGTCTGCTTATATCCTTTGCCCACTTTTTGATGGGGTTGTTTCTTTTTGTCTTGCAAATTTGTTTAAGTTCCTTGTAAATTCTGGATATTAGTTCTTTGTCAGATGGGTAGATTGCAAAAATTTTCTCCCGTTCTGTAAGTTGCCTGTTCACTCTGCTGATAGTTTCTTTTGCTCTGCAGAAACTCTTTAGTTTAATTAGTTCCCATCTGTCAATTTTGGCATTTTTTTGCAATTGCTTCTGGCAAACCTGAACTTTAATATGGCTTTGTCCCTCTAAGGGCTTTGTGACTATCAACAGGATATTGACTCTTTCAACATTTCAGTTTCCTCATGTAGATGGGAGAAACAACATATACTTTGGTAGGTGTTATAAATGTGGATTCTCCTCTCCTTTTCTCTGTAAAGGGAATGGCTTGGTAGGTCAACAGAAGAAGGCATTATAAACAAGTAAATGTGCTTTATTGGAACACAAGGGTTGAACAGAACCCTTGGGAGGGTGTAAGCAGGGTTTTATGGAAGATGGTATGGGAGATCTGAAGTTTAATTTCTTTAAGGGGATGTTTGTTGGTGGAGTTTGGGGATGTCATTTGATGAGTCAGATTTTTTCATCCATGATATCTTTAGGACCTGTTCTGTGCATTTGGCTTCAGCCAAGTTTGGGTTTTATGTTTCCCTTGTGACTGCTGTTGGACATTACCTGTGTGGCTCTTGGAAGGTTATGGTTTTTGGCCACCATTCAAGATGGTTCACCATCCAAAACTGGCTCAGTTTGGATTCTTGTGGCTGCCACATTGTGAGGCACACATGGGGATTTGGTAGGTTCTGTCTTTTCTGCCTTTTGGAATCCAACTTTAAATTTAAAAGGATAGCCAACTTTTCTACTGTCTTTCTGATTTAATACCATGTCCCTCTTCCAATCATCTGTTAGTCTTTACAAATGGGCTCAGTAAAGAGCATAAGGATCCCCAAAACCCTGAAAAATACTGAGTTTCTGACCTAGTTGGTCAGAACTGTTGGAACAGTAATGAGAGCAGTAAACTGGTACCTCCATTAACTGCTGACTTGTTGCTGTGTCCTCACATGGTAGAAGGGGCAAGAGTCTTCCTTGGGCCTCTTTTATGAGGATACTAATCCCGTTCATGAGGACTCCTTTTTCATGACCTCATCATCTCCCAAAGGTCCCACTTTTTAATACCATCACCTTAGGGGTTAGGTTTCAACACATACATTTTTGGAGGACACAAGCATTCAGACCATAACATTAGACTGTCAGTTTGTTAAAATTAGAGATAATGTATTTTTCAGCCCCTTATTCCTAGCATCCTGGCATAGTGAAAGCACTTAATATTTGTTTGTTTACTGGAAATCAAGCTGTTAGATATGGCGAGAATGCCTAGGTATAGATAACACATATTAAAAGATGTGGGTGTCAGCAATTGCAAAAATGTGAAAACAACCTAAATGCCCATCAATCAATAAGTGGGTAAAGAAACTGTGATATATGTATCACACACACACACACGCACGCACACACACACACACATGATGGAATACTACTCAGCCATAAAAAGGAATGAATTAATGGCATTCTCAGCAACCTGGATGGGACTGGAGACTATTATTCTAAGTGAAGTAACTCAGGAATGGAAAACCAAACATTGTATGTTCTCACTCATAAGTGGGAGCTAAGCTATGAGGATGCAAAGGCATAAGAATGACACAATGGACATTGGGGACTCAGTGGGAAAGAGCGGGAAGGGAGTGAGGGATATAAGACTGCAAACAAAGTTCATTGTATACTGCTTGGGTGATGGGTATATCCAGATCTCACATATCACCACTCAAGAACTTACTCATGTAACCGAACACCACCTGTTCCCCAAAAACCTACGGAAATTTTTTTTTTCTTTTTTTTTTTGAGACAGAATCTCGCTTTGTTGTGTTGCCCAGGCTAGAGTGCGGTAGCGCAATCTCGCTCACTGCAAGCTCTGCCTCCCAGGTTCACGCCATTCTCCTGTCTCAGCCTCCCGAGTAGCTGGGACTATCGGTGCCTGCCACCACACTCGGCTAATTTTTTGTATTTTTAGTAGAGACGGGGTTTCACCGTGTTAGCCAGGATGGTCTCGATCTCCTGACCTTGTGATCCGCCCGTCTTGGCCTCCCAAAGTGCTGGGATTACAGGCGTGAGCCACCGCACCTGGCCTAATAAAAAAATTTTTTTAAAAGATGTGGGTTTCAAGAGGTGATTCAGTGTTGGAGGTGAAGGTTGATTTGAGGCCCACACTTTGAGTAAGAAGGCTGTAGAGTGTCTTTGGTGATGCTATACTGTTACACCCAAATTTTCCTTCTGTGCCTCCCAGTGCCATTGATTCTTTCTGGTTATAAAGGAATTGCCCTTTTAAAGGGCTCTCTGTGCTCATTATTTCCTTTAATCTTCACAACAATCCCTTGGAGTAGTTGTATAGAATTCATGAGTCTCATACCTGTGAAGAGAGACATCAGTGAAGAGACTTACCCCAAGTGAGTCAGTGGTAGACACAGATGGGACAAGCATCTGGTTTCCTATTCTGAATAGAATATGGTGACCCTGATATTGATTTATTTTTTAGTGTTGTGGAGAAGAATTGTCTTCATTTCTCCCAAATGCAGTGACTATTTGTTAGTCCATTCTTCAGCTCCTTATTGAGTACCTACTGCATACCAAATTTATTTGTGTGTGTATGCACTGGGGATACAGAGGTGGATAAGATAGACGCAGCTTATGTCTTCAGTTGTCAAGACACAGTCCTGCATTGCTTAGCAGGATGACTTCTGCACTCCGTCTTGGAGCTTCTTTTGAGAACTTCTGGGCTCAGAGACTATGTGTGTGATGTTGTTTTCTCATGTTCTATGGTGTCTGGGATCTTCAGAGCCTGTTAGCCAGCTGGCTCCAGGAACCTATGTGTCATGGGTTCCACAGGTGAACTTCTTGGTACTGGGGCTCTTGAGGTCTCTCCAGTTGGTGACAGGAAACATTCCAGGTGTGAGTGGCTGACCCTCAGAGTAGAGAAAGGGTTTTGTTGGTTTGTGTTTTGTTTCTTTGGATTTACCTCTGGGTTTCTGAGAACTGACATTTTCATAATCTGTTCCTTCTCTGCATTATGTTAATAGACTTTTCTGGGGCAGGAAGAATTTAGTGGATGTCATTTGTTAGCCAAGGTATATGTCTGCTTTTTTTTTTCCTTCTCCCCTCCTCCCATCAATCAAAGGATTTCTTAGTTTCTTATCTGTGAATCACTCAGGCTTCCACTTAACTGCCAGTTCAGTTTCCTCCTTGCCCATCCTCCCTTCTCTTTTCTCCTCTCCTTCCCCCACTTCTTTCCCCCATTTCCCTTTTTTCCCTCTCCCCACCACACTTCCCTTTCCTTTCCCCCTCTTTTCCTTTTCCTCAGATTCTTTTGAATTTTTCTTGATCTGCAACAAGCCAGGTCCTTTGTTAGGCATTAGTGTTAGACATCAGTGATGCATAAAAGATTGTTCTGCTCTTCCAGGAGCTAGATAAGGGCCTGGTTCCACTTCTCAGTATTCAGGGAATGGATTCCCTGCTTACTCCCTTCCTTCCTTTGGATGCCACAAAATGAGCACTTGACTGAAAATATGCTTATACGCGTTTTTACAGACTACGCCAAGCCACAGGTATGTCTAGATGAAAAATGTGTTGTGCCATTGCTACAGACTCTAAAAGTTTGGGGAACCATGGAAGTGTTTGGGTTTCTTTTGAGCCAGTCTTGGCAACCTTAAAACTTTTAGAACTGTCTCCCCTTGGAGGGAAAGGCGAAAAAGAACTGAAGAGGAGGCCTTAAGAAATTTTCATGTTTAGAGGTAAAGTTTTGGTTAGCAAGCTGGTCTTTTCTTCCTATTTATTGTTGGTAGAGCCCATAGAGAAACAACTATTATTGCCAAATCAGCTCTTTCCTTCTCATTTCAAATTTTTCCACCATCTTAGAGCATGTAAAAATTGTTGAAAGTGGTATTCAGTCATTTCTATTAAGACTGAGGTGGGCAAGCTTAACTCATTGTTCATCTTTTTTCTTCCCAATCTTAGCAAATCCCTGATTGCAGTATAACTAACTAAATAAATTGCACAGGACTTGTGTACATCAACTCCCAGCAAAGTCCAAAGATCAAAGTTGAAAGAGGATACTGAATTCCTTCCCAGATTTCTGGGACACTGCTTCTGTGCACTGTCACCAAATAAATCCTGGAGGAGTGGCGCCTTAAGAAATAGGGTAAGCTCATCCGCTTCTGGGAGATTGTCATCATAGGCAGCAATCTTAATGCTCTGAGATGCTTCAGAGGGAAAGAAGGGGAAAAGTATAAAAGAACAATCCCCACATTATCGGTTTTTAGCTCAGTATTTGTAGCTTGTACCCCCTTCTTAGGATTGCTAAAACCCGTTTGCAAAGGACAGCCCTCTATTTCCAGGTCCCCTTTTCCTTTTTTCACACTGCATTTGAGCAGTTTGCACATTTGTTGAAGAATCAGCCACAAAGTCTGTGGTTTCCTGTGGCACATTTCTAACAATATTTATACAGGCTATTATTTAATGAACTGTATAAATATTTATACAGAACAGTCTTTTGATCATAAATAGGGGCTAAAAGTCAGTCCAGTCCATGCTGAGGACTTGGACAGGAGGCTGTTTCTGTGCTTTGAAATGTCTTGTAGACTGAGAAGTTAGGTATGTCCCAGGACTTGTACGCAGCACAGCTTGAATTTCTGTTATTTTTCTTTCTCTTGGCCGTCCACAGTCCGTGCCCTCATTTCTTTCCGCCTGACCACCCTCCCCATATCCCTAACAGCTGTTTTCTTTTTAGAGTATTTATCTTTGCCTAAGAAGAATGAAATGAAACCCCAGTTCCGACTCTCACCATTCATAATGCGGTCTTTGGAGTCACACTGACTTAGCCTCAAACCCCAGCCCCTGTGCTTCTGTACCATGCAACTTTAAACAGCTTCCTGTCTGAGAACCTCACTTTCCTTAGCTGGGAAATGGGGCTCATACTGCCTACCTCACAGGGTTGCTATAAGGATTAAATGAAATCATGGAGTCACATGGTGATCTGCAGCTCAGAGCTCAATAGATATTTCTTGCTGCATTTGTTGTTCTTATTGAAGAAGTAATCAAAGGGTTTGGCTTTCAGTTTTAGCTGGATGTTGTGGAAGGAGCCCTAAACTTGCCGCAAGAGACTGTGGTTCAAATCCTGATGCCATTTGCTGTTTGTGGCACTTTGGGCAAATTACTCCACCCTTCTGAGGTATAATAAAGTGGTGATAGGTTTACCAAACTGATTGGGTTTCTGTGAATGAGATTAACATTGTGTGGGAATAAGTGACACGATGATGATCCTTATCCTTGTTTACTTTACAAACTAGAAAAAGGAATAATGCTTTCCACTTTACAGTTACTTTACTTTTTGAGGCCAAGGGGTACTGGTTGCATAAGATTAGGAGTCTAGGACGCAGCAGATCATATTCATGACCCAGGAACAAAGGGCATAGAGGGGGAAGAGCAGGGGACCTATGATGCAGAAAGTCCTTTGCTGGAGCTCACAGGTCGAATTTCAGGGAAGCTGCCCAAGGGCTTGAACATCCCTGCTTTCAGGTTCCAGGTATGGAAATAATCACAGAGATCAGTTAAAACTATAATAATGGGAAAAGTGGTGAACCTGAAATATGCAAGTAGGATCTATTTCATAGAAAAACATGAACTGGGTGATGTGTGTGAATGACGCTGGGATGGTTTGACTCTTTGCTGCATGGTGCCCTGGTAATAAGTTATAGAAATCCATATTTTGCTAGAAGCAGGCCACCTGGTGTTGTGGAAGGGTCAGTCTCTGAAGATGAACAGCCTGGGTTCTGAGTCAGCCAACCTTAGGCACAGCAGGCAGAGGCCCCCAGCAGAGTCCTTGACAAATGGGCATTTAGTAAATAGAGGAATAGCAGGAGGCAGTGGAGCATCCTGAGAAAGGTTAGGGCTGATGGAACCGGAGGGAATGGATTACTGTCAATTGTATTACTGCCTAGTAATATGGCATACTGGAGCAAGTTACTTTACCTATCTAGGACTTATTTTCCTCATCAGTAAAATGGGAGTGATCATAGTTATTGTCTTCAAGAATTGTGGTCAGGCATTGTAATCAAGCTGCTTAGCAGAATATCAGATATGTGGTAAACATGGTACCTTTTTTTATTTCCCCAGTGATGAATTTTAAAGACATCCATTCACTGAGTTACAAGGACTTACTGAGCTCCTGCTGTATGCCAGGCACTGGGCTTACAGCTGTGACACAGGCGGCAGCTGGAATTAACTGTAATCATACCGCTCCATTCTCCATGTGAAGGGTGGGCTCCTGCCAGAAACCAGAACTGGAGCAAGCCCAGGGCTAACTGTAGAGTGGAAATCTGCCTCTTTGGGTTTTACTGGAAAGGAATCAGAATGTGGGTAGGGTGGTAAGATGATGTATTTTATCATATTACTCTCTTCATCAGAGAGGGAGTCAAAAGTGAGGAACCCAAGCCTGAGCACGTGGGCCAGCCCCATGGGGAATCTGTCTTGTCATCGGGGCTGGCTGGAGTAGAGACAAGTCTGGATGCTGGCTGGCCAGGTCTGTGTAAGCCAGGGTATTGAATAGATTTTTCATTTCCTATTTATTTCTTTGTTTCTTCCTAAGCGTTTATAGTAGTCTTGCAAAAGTCTTGCCAAGGGCAAAGAGTTGTTAGCATGCTAGGATCAGTGTTAAGGAGCAGCACCCCGGGGGCCTTTGCAGTAGAGACAGTGGGAAGCCCAGAGAGGGGATTCCAAGTAAAGTAAGCAGCTGTGAGAGGTTGGTAGAGGGAAGGTAGAGTGGCTAGCTTCAATCTTCTTCCTGTTTGCAGCTAATAAAATTGAGGAAACTCAGCGAAGGCATTGCCCCTATTTTGTCAATCAGTGTATCCTCAGCAGGCTTCCTGGTGTTACTGTCTTCTGCATTTCTTCTGAGTCTCAGATGTCACTGATTGCAAGATGCACCATTATTTATTATTACCATGAAGTAAGAAAGGAAATGATACCAATTAATTGTAACATACCATTGATTGTAAGGTTCTCACTGGTTTTAGAGAAGCTAAATATGGAAAAATGAGTGCCGTAGAATGAATAAAATGTGGTTGTAAAATGAATAAAACAGGCATGGACCTGTTCATCCTTGTTTCTGTTAATTCATTGATTCAGTTGTTCATTCAGTAAACATTTACTGAAAACCTATTATGTGCCAGACACTGTGCAAGGAGCTTGGGATACAGAAATCAATAAGTTCATTTTTTTCAGATTCAGTTAGGAAGACAGACATGGAAAGAAAAATAAAATTGTGATTCCAGAGTGGTAAGTTTTAAAAGAAAGCAGGGAGAAGATACCATGTTGGCATCCTTTGTATGTATGCAAGGGGAGAAAGGGAAGGAAGCCTTTTCCAAGGAGAATTGATGGCTGACCTGGGTCTTAAAATATAATTCAGTGGTCACCAGGCAGACAAGGAAAGGAGAGAATTAGGAAGGGATGAGCAAAGGATTGGGGCAGCCTTTAGCAGCTGGGGGCAATTGAGAGCTTATGAGGAGTTTGAGGATGTCTGTAGCCTGGAGTGAGAATGAGCAGGACTGTATTAGGCGGGGCTGGATGGCAGGCAGAGGGAGCCTGTGGAGGGTGTGAGATCCCGTGCTGAGGCCCTGGGGTATATCACAGCTCAAAGCTGGTGGTTTTCAGTTGTCCTGAGAGAGGGCCTAGCAGAGGGACTGCTGGGGGGAAGGGCTGGAGGGTGGGGCAAGGGCGATCTTTGCTTCAGAGCAGCTCTGTTTTTATCTGTTTTGTTTTCTTCAAATAATGGCTTGAAGAAAAGGTATCACTGTTGAATGAATGAAGGAATGAATGATTTGAAAACTGGTGCTAATGGTCATATGGAGGTCCCCAAGGGGAATGTAAGCAAGGGAGAGAAGTTGAGGTTACACACCAGTGGAGGTCTGATGAAGCTCCTATGAACGGAGCAAATGTTACTTCTGCAGCTTCTCCATTTTATTTTTCACCTGCTCATGAGCCACAGAGCCAAAAGGGGGACAATTCTGTTGGGAAATCATTGTGATTAAGACAGAAGCAATTACTTTTAATGAAGTTTTTATTGTTTTATTTGTTTTTTACTGGAGTAAATATCTAGGAAGCAGTAACTGAACATCTGCTGGTTGATTTTCTTTCAGAATCTCCATGTTTGACTTGGCTAGGGAAACATTTTCTTTCTGAAGTTGAAGGATGCAGAAGGTTGCCCAGGTTGAAATTAGACTCTGGGTGGTAAAACTGCCTTGAGCTCACCTGGAGAGTTGTAGGGCATCCACCTGCTCAGTTGTGTTGGGGGCTTGTTCTTATTCTTTCAAAGCCAATCTGGAAAATAAAAGCCTCTATGAGATTCCATGTCATGTGGGCTAATCTGACCAAAGGGACTTAGAGCAGCCATGAAGGCCAAGGAATTCCTGAATGTTCTCTGGTCAGATTTCCTTGTAACTCACAAGGGGTCTGTAAGGAAAACAGATTGTCTAACTAATTGCTGATCTTGTCTCCTCGGGGTTCCTTCCCAATTCCCAGTCACTTCATGACAAAGCTGCAATATATTTGCCTCTTCTCCAAACCTATACAGAAAGCTTTTAAGAAACAAAGGAAAGAGCATGAAACTTGGGATTGCACAAATATGGGACTTTAGGTCCAGGCTGCCCCTGAATGAAGCTGATTAAATTCCTTAACTTCTCATAGACTTGCTTCTTAATCAGTGTAGTGTGTATCATTATAATAATGTACATTTACTGTTTGAATTTATGAGTAGACCTAGCTAGCATTAAGCAAAAAGTTACTTATCTCTTGGAATCTCACCTTGACCACCTGTAAAACAGAGATGTAAATAGCCTCACCTTCTAGAGTCATAGTGAGGAGTAAAGGGGACATAAGCACTTTTCACAGTGCTTGCGTGTAAGAGGTACTTAGTAGGTAATTGTTGAATGAATGACTGACTAGGAGGACAAGGTTCCTTTTCAGTACCTTGGCTTCTGTTCTTGTTGATTGAAATTCACTGAGAAGAAACTCATCTCCATTGCCTCCAGATTCTAAGTTCTCCTACCACCCTGTACTTGCCCTTACAGCACTCATCACAACTTTGCCTAAATAATTATGTATTTAAATCCTGACTCTCTCTCAAGAGTGGAAATGCCATGTCTGAGGCCATATCTGTGCTGTTCACCCACCATGTAGCTCAATGTTTATTAGTATACTGTTATCACTAAAAATGTTTGTTGGATGAATAAATAACAAATGGCTACCGGTTAGGTAGCGGTACCTCTTTTATTTCTACTTTTGAGATGTTTTGTGACTGTCTTTGCAGATCCACTTGGTCTTCATATGGTTTTTACACTTGCTTACTATAGGTGGAGGAACTGCAATGTCTGGTGGAGAACAGAAACCAGAGAGGTACTATGTGGGTGTGGACGTTGGAACAGGCAGTGTCCGTGCAGCTCTGGTGGACCAGAGTGGGGTCCTGTTGGCTTTTGCAGACCAGCCAATTAAGAATTGGGAGCCCCAGTTCAACCACCATGAGCAGTCCTCCGAGGACATCTGGGCTGCGTGCTGTGTTGTCACAAAGGTATGGGCAAAACTGGTGTTCTCTCCTTGTTCATATTCCTACCTGCTGAGTGTCGTGTGTCAATCTGGTGCCGTAAACAATGTTGGGGTAACTTTAGATGCAGAGGTAAGCAAGACATAGGCCTTGCCCTTCAGGAGCTCACAGTCTACTGGCAGAGACTGATAAACAGCTAATATATGGTAAGAGCTGGGATCAAAGTAACTATAGCTGGAGCTGGGGAAAGAGCTAACCGGAGGGGGCTCAGGGAAGACAGGACAGCTTGAGGTGTGACCACATGTGGAAGAATTCACTGATCACCTTATTAACATTTACCACGCCTTTAATGTGTGCCAAAGGCTGTGTAAAATGTGTTAACTTGCACTGTGTAGTTGCATCTTCACATGACCCTATAAAGGTAATACTGTCACTACCCCTATTTTATTGAGGGAGAAATGTAGGCACAGAAAAGTTAGGTAACTTACTCAAGTTCACACAGTAAGTAGCAGAGGCAGGACTAGAACAAAGCAGTCTGACTCCAGAGGTGCGCTCTTTTTTTTTTTTTTTTTTAATTAAAAAAAGTTCAATGGGTTTTTGGGGAACAGGTGGTGTTTGGTTACGTAAGTTCTTTAGTGGTGATTTCTGAGATTTTGGTGCACTCATCACCCAAGCAGTGTACACTGTACCCAATGTGTAGTCTTTTATTCCTCACCACCCCCCAGCGCTTTCCTCCGAGTTCCCAAAGTCCAATTGTATCATTCCTATACCTTTGCCTCCGAGGTGCACTCTTAACCATTGGACTCTGCTGCCTTCCAAGTGGACAAATGAGGATGAGAGGAACTGCATTTTGGGCAGAGGGAATAGCATATGCAAAGGCATGGTGGCACGAAAACATGGTGTGTTCTGATAAAGCAAAGGAGTCAGATTAGAGTGTCTCCCATATATGCCAGGCATATGTTCACCCTGAGTGGCCTTGGATTGGATGCAGCCTGCTGGCTTGGGAAGGAAAGCAATGCTTCACAATTCTTGTTTGTTTTTAAAGTTTCACTTGACTGTTTGATTTTATGTCTTGGTGATCAGTAATGACAGAGGTCCTTTTGTCTTTTTTTCCATGGGGAAAAATAAAGTCCTGGATTCCTTCTTTTCCCTGTTCCTAGTTTAGTTCCTTAAATATTCATGAGGTGCTTGGTAATTTGCAGATGGACAATTCACCATTCTGTCCCTATTGATCAGTCTGTTTAAACTTTAATGAATTCTGGGCTGCTGTTAGTGCCCCCGGAGAAGAAGGCAGAGAGAGGAGGGAGTGGGTAGGCAGTACCAGAGCATTATACAGGAATAAAAGAGGGATGCATCTTCTCTTTTGCCCATTTAATTTTCCTCTCCTCTCCCCTCCTTTCAGCCCCCAATCTGGTAAGAATCTTCTACTCTTTGCACTTGGGCCTTCTTTCTTCTTTTAACATACAGCCTTGCTTGCCGTTAAGGAAATTATCAAGAAGAAAATATAATCCCCTGATGAAAAGCTACTTTAAAAAAGGTCTACTCTAAGTACAGCTGGTTTAATGGTAGATTTTTAATCATCTCCCAGTGGTGGCCAACTTATCATCTGTTTGAGCCCTGTTAGCTGCATAAGTACCATGGACATCTGTCGATAGCAATGCTATTGCACTATAGCAAACCTAAATGAAGCCCTTGGGTCTTAGGCGATTCTCCTCAGATGGAGTATGGATATGTGGGCATGTGCCAGAAGCCACAGGATAAGCATGTTACATCTATATGGAACATCATTGCTGGTGTGAGGCTTAGGGAGGGAAGCATTTTTATGTTAGAGAGATAATAACACCATAGGAATGAGAGAGGTAGGTGACCTGTTATAGAGCACAGATTCTGCAGCCAGACTGCCTAGATTGACATCCCACTTACAACGTTTATTAGGTTGTGATCTTGGACAAGTTACCTAATGTTTCTTGCTTCAGTTTCCTTATCTGTAAAATGGAAATGACATTAGTACCTACTTCCATAGGATTGTTGTGAGGATTAAATGAATTAATGCACATAGGATGTCATAACATTGCCTAGAAATGTGTATGGGTTGTTTCCTATGGTGGTGCTGATGGTGACAGAAAATGAGCAGATTATAGAAGATAGTGAATTTCTAAGACAAAATACTGAAAAGTCAAAGTCTACGGCGGGGGAGGCGCTTCTTGGGAATATTCATTCACTCTCCTGGTTAGGGTTCTTACTGTGTAACACTTTGAGAAACACTGGTCTAGGGCAAAGGGTGGCATCAGATATGTCCTGGTCTGTCTTTTCTTCCTCATGGACTCCAGGAAGTTGAGAGCTTCAGAGCAGTTGTTCTAATTCCTTTTCCCTAAGTCATTCACATTGCCTGAGATGACTTTCCTCTTAGTTAAAGCAACAGTAAGGATAATGTGGTGTCAATGATGATGACAAAGACAGCTAACAGTTCTTGGGCACACTGGTCCAGGTACTATACTGAAGAGCTTTTACCCATCACTTCATTTTATCCTTATAATAACTACTTTTTTTTTTTTTTTTTTTTTTTTTTTTGAGACGGAGTCTCGCTCTGTCGCCCAGGCTGGAGTGCAGTGGCGGGATCTCGGCTCACTGCAAGCTCCGCCTCCCGGGTTCACGCCATTCTCCTGCCTCAGCCTCCCAAGTAGCTGGGACTACAGGCGCCCGCCACTACGCCCGGCTAATTTTTTGTATTTTTAGTAGAGACGGGGTTTCACCGTTTTAGCCGGGATGGTCTCGATCTCCTGACCTCGTGATCCGCCCGCCTCGGCCTCCCAAAGTGCTGGGATTACAGGCGTGAGCCACCGCGCCCGGCCAATAACTACTTTTTAAGGTAGTTTTGATTGTTCTCTCTGTTTTGAAGATAGAAAAACAATGAGCTTTGAAGAGGTTCAGTAAGCAGCCTAAGGTCTCCTGAATAAGAAGAAGGGGACGCTGTCCCTGCCACTGCTACTGCTCTCATGCTCTGTCCCTTGTCTCTCTCCAGCCATATCTCCCTCCACATGACCCTACCTGGAACTGATAAGAAGTAGCCTGAAATTTTTAGATTTTCTACACATGGGGCATCATGAGGTTACCCAGGATTACGAGTGCCTTTACCTGGTTGCCTGCTCATCTGGGAAGTGTGTGCCCCCTCAGCAGGGGTTATATCTAGTTTATCTGTATTTCTCTAGAATTCTTTGCTTGTAGTGTGTTCAATTAATGTTTGTTGAGTACATAAATGAATGATATATCTCTGTTGTTTACATTGTCTGGAATACTCTTCTCTTAACTTCCTCACCTGCCCAACTCCCACCTTATAAAGTAAGCTTAGGCGGGGCGTGTTGGCTCACGCCTGTAATCCCAGCACTTTGGGAGGCCAAGGCGGGCGGATCACGAGGTCAGGAGATTGAGACCATCCTGGTTAACATGGTGAAACCCTGTCTCTACTAAAAATACAAAAAAAAAATTAACCAGGTGTGGTGGCGGGCGCCTGTAGTCCCAGCTACTTGGGAGGCTGAGGCAGGAGAATGGCGTGAACCTGGGAGGCGGAGCTTGCAGTGAGCCGAGATTGCGCCATTGCACTCCAGCCTGGGAGACAGAGTGGGACTCCGTGTCCAACAACAGCAACAACAACAACAACAACAAAAACAGTAAGCTTAAACATTCCTGTCTCCTGAGTGTCTTCCTTGGTGACTTCTGACAGTCTATGCCCTTTTTTACCAACCTCAGCAGAAAGAGAGGGTGAGAAGCCCCTCTCTACTGTCCAGAGCCCACCATCTTCACCCAGATCACTTTCTACTCCTTATCTTTGCATTTTACTTGTTGGCTTGTTTACCCCCTTTTAAACTATGAGCTGAGCTCTTAGAGAGATTCATCTTTATGTCTCCAGTATCTAACACATTGCCTGGCACAAATTAGGTGCTCAATTAATGGCTGTTGAATGAATGTTACTTAGAGCTAAAAACAAAGAGACAAAATCCAATCTAGCATTCCTTATCTTGTTTCAGTGTCACTGTGGGGCAGGAAGGACAACTATTCTTCCTATTTGAAATATGAGGAAATTGAGGCTCTGGAACTAACAAGTATTGGAGACAAGACCAGAACCCTGGTGAGATGGCTCCAAATCTTCCTCTCTGTCTTCCTCCCTACATTCCCTAAATTTGGCAGGTTTTATTGGGCTGGTAAGCCGCACACCTAAGAGGTTTTATGGAAACTCACAAGTCATAGAGGTTATATGCAGTCCACGATTTTAAAGGTTCCTTTATGGAGCCACAAATCTTAATCATTCCAAAAAGGTGAGAACATTTCAAATTAGTGCATGATTCATACTAAACTTCTCTTAGGAAGAAGGAGAAGATAAGCTGGAGGAATCATTTAGCCAACAGGTGTTTGTTGAGTATCATTCTTTCATTTAGTCTGCAAACATTTATTGAGCACTTAACTATGTGCTATGCTCTTTGCTAAGCATTGGAGCATATAGAGGAGACGTATACAAGAAGTCTGCTGCTTTTAAAGATGAAACAGCTTAATTGTATGAGAAAAATAAACAACACATATGAAGCCAGTAAAGTACCATTTTGTTCTGTCTTGGTGCTATCTATATGAGTAGTGGTTGTGGGGAGGGGGACAGAAGAAAGAGTAGCCACATGTCGGGTTGAGCAATAATGTTAACCTTATATTCATAGAACCATTATAGTTTACAGTGCATCTTCATTTTCATTTGATTGCTATTGCAGGGTGAAGTAGGGAAGAAGTTGTTATTCCCATTTACATTTGAAAAACTGAGGGCCAGAGAGTTAAGTGATTTTCCTAAGGTCACCCAGGTGGTATGTGATAAGGCAGAACTCAGATGGGTCAAACCTATGCATTCTCTCTATCTCTAGCACCATATACCTTTATATTTTGCATGGAATATTATTCCAAGAACCTAACTGATGTCTTGATATTCATTTTTCTTTTCTCTATTCTTGCATTTGAAGTGTTTTTTTTTTCCTCTAGTGCTAACTGATCATGTCACTCTTTTGCTACAGCCCTTCAACATCTATCACTCTACTACAGGCATAATGATAAATTCAGTTCCAGAACACCATAATGAGGTGAATATTGCAACAAAGCTCACATGAATTTTTGAGTTTCTCAGTGCATATGAAAGTTATGTTTACATTATATTGCAGTCTATTAAATGTGTAATAGCATTAGTCTAAAAAAAGTATATAACTTAATTTTTAAAAATTGCCAAAAAATGTGTTAATGATCATCGAAGCCTGCAGTGAGTTGTAGTCTTTTTCCTGGTGGAGGGTTTTACCTTGATGTTGATAGCTGCTTACTAATTAGGGTGGTGGTTGCTGAAGGTTAGGTGGCTGTGGTAATTTTTTTAAGTAAGGCAATTTTTTAAGTAAGGTTTGCTGCACTGATTGACTCTTTCTTTCACAAAAGATTTCTCTGTAGCATGCAATGTTGTTTGATAGCATCTTATCCATGGCAGGACTTCTTTCAAAACTGGAGTTAGTTCTTTCAGACCTTAGCCTTATCAGTTAAGTTTATGTACTATTCTAAATTGTTTGTTGTCATTTCAACATTGTTCATATCATCTTTATCAGAAGTAGATTCCATCTCAAGAAATCATTTCCTTTGTTCATCCATAAGAAGCAGCCCCTCATCGGTTCATATTCTATCATGAGATTACAGCAATTCAATTTCATCTTCAGGGTCCACTTCTAATTCTAGTTCGTTTGGTATTTCCACTACCTCTGCAGTAACTTCCTCCACTTAAGTCTTGAGCCACTCAAAGTCATTCATGAGGGTTGGAATTAACCTCTTCCAAATTCCTGTTAATGTTGATATTTTGACCTCCCATGAATCATGAATGTTCTTAATGGCATCTAGAGTGGTAAATCCTTTCCAGAATGTTTTCAATTTACTTTATCTAGATCAATTAGAGGAATCACTATCTATGGCAGCTATATCCTTACAAAATGTAATTCTTAAATAATAATACTTGAAAGCTGAAATTTCTCTTTGATCCATGGGCTGCAGAATGGATGTTGTGTTAGCAGGTATGAGAACAACATTCATCTCCTTGTACATCTTCATCAGAACTCTTTGGTGACTCGGTGCATTGTCAATGAGGAGTAACACTTTGAAAGGAATCTCTTTTCTTTGAGCAGTAAGTCTCAACAGCAGGGTTAAAATATTCAGTAAACCATGCTGTAAATAGATGTGCTGTCATCCAGGCTTTGTTGTTCCATTTCTAGAGCACAGGCAGAGTAGATTTAGCATAATTCTTAAGGGCCCTAGGATTTTTGGAATAGTAAATGAGCATTGGCTTCAACTTAAGTCACCAGCTGCATTTGCCCCTAACAAGAGAGCCAGCTTGTCCTTTGAAGCTTTGAGGCCAGGCATTGGCTTTTTGTCTCTAGCTGTGAAAGTCCTAGATGGTATCTTCTTCCAATATAAGGCTGTTTTGCCTACCTTAAAAATATGTTGTTTAGTGTAGACACCTTCATTGATTGTCTTACCCAAATCATCTGTATAACTTGCTGGAGTTTCTACATCAGCACTTGCTGCTTCACCTTGTGTTTTTATATTATGGAAATGGCTTGTTTACTTAAACCTCCTGAACCAACTTCTGGTAGCTTCAAACTTTTCATTCTGTAGCTTCCTCACCTGTCTCAGCCTTTACAGAATTGAAGAGTTAGGACTGTGCTCTGGATTAAGCTTTGACTTAAAGAATGTTGTGGCTGGTTTGATCTTCTATCTAGACCACTCAAATTTTCTCCATATCAGCAATAAGACTGTTTCACTTTCTTATTCAGGTGTTCACTGGAGTAGCGCTTTTAGTTTTCCTTACGAACTTTCTTTTGCATTCACAGCTTGACTATTTGGTGCAAGAGGCCTATCTTTTTGCCAGTCTTGGCTTTCCCTATGCCTACTTGACTAAGCTTAATCATTTCTAGCTTTACATTTAAAGTGAGAGACTATGACTCCTTCTTTCACTTGAACATTTGGAGACCATTGTAGGGTTATTAATTGGCCTAATTTCAAAGTTGTGTCTCGGGGGTAGGGATCCCTAAGGAGAGGGAGAGAGATGAGGAATAGCTAGTCTGTGGAGCAGTGAGAACACACACCACATTTATCTATTAAGTTTGCCCGTCTTATATGGGTGCAGTTTGTGGTGCCCCAAAACAAATGCAATAGTAACATCAAATATTATCATAGCAGATATAATATTAATGAAAGTTTGAAATATTATTAAGAATTACCAGAATGTGACACAGACATGAGGTGACATGAGCTATTGGAAAAATGACACTGATAGACTTGCTCTTTGCAGAGCTGCTACACACCTTCAATTTGTAAAAAACACAATCTGCAAGATGCGGTAAAGCAAAGCACAATGATACCAGATATGCCTGAGGCATACCTCAAACTGCGGTTTTAGTTCCAGACCACTGCCACAAAGCAAATATCTCAATAAAGCAAGTCACATGAATTTTTTGATTCCCCAGCATACATAAATGTTTTGTTTGTGCTGTACCGTAGTCTATTAAGTGTGCAATAGCACTGTATCTAAAAAAAAGGTACCTTAATTAAAAAATACTTTATTGCTAAAAATGCTAATGAAGTGAGCACATGCTGTTGGAAAAATGGCAGCAATGGACTTGCTTACTGCAGGGTTGCCACAGACGTTCAATTTGTAAAAAATGTAATATCTGCAAAGTGCAATAAAGTGAAGCACGATAAAATGAGGTATGCCTGTATTTGGGTAGAACTCAATCCTTAACATGGCCTTCAGGGCCCTACATGGCCTGTCTCGACTTGCATTCCTGGCTCATCTCATGATGCTTCTCCTGGCTCTCTGCATTCCAGCCACACCTTCCTTCTGTCATGTCCTCAAACATGCAATGCTCCCTTTAGCGTAAGAATTGTTACCCAGATTCTTTCTTCTGGCTGCATATCCTTCCTACCTTCCACCAGCATATCTAACTCCTGTTCATCCTTAGACCTAAGCTATCCAATCCAATAGTTGCTGAACCCACAATGCCATTTAAATTTATAGTAATTACAATTAAATATAATTAAACATTCACTTCCTCTTTTGCTCCAGCCAAATTTCAAGTGCTCAATAGCCACATGGTGGCTATTATACTGAACAGCACAGATATAGCACATTTTCATTATTGTAGAAAGTTCCATTGGATAGTGCTGCCCCAAACCTTAATTCAAAAGTTAGTTCTTCAAGGAAGGAGCATTTTCTCTACCAATACCACCTCCAACTAAGTCTTATTTCACTTATTAAATGTTTTCACAGTGCCTTGTACGTCTCTTTCATAGAACTCCATGTGGTTCGTGAATCATTCATTTTTTGTTATCAAATAATAAAATCATTCTATAAATCAAGAATAAAATACCATAAAATGAAACAAAATAATAAGATATTTCACTTTTTGGATTAATGTATGTCTTCCCTACTAGATTTTATGTTTCAGGAGGGCAGGAGCTATGTTTTGCTTACCCAGAGCCTGGGTTATATTAGACCCAGGAAGTGTAAAAAAAATGAAGGGTCAAAAGAAATTGAGAGCACTTTGGGAGGCCCAGGTGGGCAGATCATGAGGTCAGGAGTTTGAGACCCGCCTGGTCAACATGGCAAAACCTTGTTTTTACTAAAAATACAAAAATTAGCTGGGCGTGGTGGTGTGCGCCTGTAATCCCAACTACTGAGGAGGCTGAGGCAGGAGAATCACTTGAACCCGGGAGGCGGAGGTTGCAATAAGCCGAGATCGCAGCACTGCCCTCCAGCCTGGGCGACAAAGCAAGACTCCATCTCAAAAAAAAAAAAAAGAAAAGAAAAGAAATGGAGACCTCCCTACTTCTACCCACTGGAGAAAACTTGAGAAAGGATGTAGGGCAAAAAGTGACTCTTGAACTCTTAAGAGAAGACAATTGGAACTGGAGGAATAGAATGGTCAGAAGCGCTGAGATGGGAACATCAAGGATCGAATCCTAGCTGTAATAGGTGGTTTCTAATAGGAAGAAGGAAAGGGAGGCTAGAATTGACGATACAGGGGTAGGTGAGACAGCTGGCTCAGACCAATGGGGAGCTCCTCTAGAATCATCCTGAGTTTGAGATTGACCAGTCTTGCAACAGATTCAGAATGGCTGGCAGAGAAGAAACTAAATTTAAGGATGTCAGGAGGCAGACATCCTGATGAGTTTCAGAGGCTGAGATTTTTTTTTTTTTAAACTATAAACTTTGGGAAGACTGGGACCACGTCTCTCTTGACCAGGATATGTTCTCTGTGTCTGGCACATATAGGTGCTTAATATTTTTAATAATAAATGGCTAGATTAGACTATTGGCAGAGGAATAAATAGGAGGGCTGAGACTGAGAGGCTTTAGGAAGGCAGGCGTAACTGGACTTGGCAACAATGGAGAGGAAGGAGGTAGAGGCTATTTGAGTTTCAGTTCTTGGCAGAATGTTGGGGTCACTGATATAAATGAGAGTATTTGGCCTTTATTTCATCATCTTATCATCAAATGGCAATACCATACCTAAGCTGGGATGCTACGTAGGTAAAGGATTAGGACTGGGTTTATTTACTTCACTGGTCACTAGAGTAGCTTTTACAAAATTGACTGCCTTCAAGGGCCTTCCAGGTAATGCACGCCCCAACACAAGCTGTATTTGTCTTCTTGCTGTTCCCCCTCCCAGGACCTCTGCGCTCGCTGTTCCCCTGCCTGGAACACTCTTCCCCCAGATTTCCATGAGGTCCACTCCTCATGTCTTTCAGGTGTATCCTCAAATTTCACTTGCATCTTGCATAGGAACCACCTCCTCCTTGCATTCCTAATCCCCCTGAGTAATCACTTGCTAGTATACTATATCTACACTATGTAATTTATTTGATTTATTGGGTATTGTCTATCCCTACTAAAATGTAATCTCCAAAAGAGCAAGGATTAAAAAAAAAAGTTTTTCTCTCCATTGTTTTTCCAATACCTAGAAGAGAAAATTCTGCACAGCCTGACCCTAGAAGGGGCTTGATTATTTTCGCTAAGGACTTATGGCTAAGTGAGTGATTGAACTGTGTAACCAACAGGTAGTGATGGAGCCTGAGGGAACTGGTGATTGCATAACTCCTCGCACGCCCCCAAAGCTGACAAAGGCATTCAAATCAAGATTTAAAAGAATACAGTACCTGCCACTCAGAACTCTACTGCAAGCTGGATTATGTCTATGAAGCCCCAGGCTTTGACCCTTGCTCTAAATAGAGCTAAGGATAAAACCAGGTATGCATCTGACCCTCCAGTTCTCAGTTTGGAGGGTTTCTAAGAAACACCATCTCCCCACCCAATATGGCAGATCTTGCTGATTTAAAACACATGCAGAATTGAACCATTTCCCACAATAAGAAGAAAGTGATACACAATCCCTTCCCCAAATATTTGTTTGCTGCCCCATAGCTACGAGTTGACAGTTGTTAGACATGGAACAGGTTACCAAATGAGGTTGCAGAAATCTCTTTCTCTGGAAATTCTTTAGAAGAGCAATGTGCTTTCTCTCTAGCTAGGGAAATTCTCTTGATTCCAAGCTGTTACAATGAGATTACTGGGCTGCTTTCTTCTTCCATTAATAAGAATATAAAAAAGAATTCTTAGGTCACCAGGTCAAGCCCCAGAGGCCTTCTGGGTAGTGTGACTCTGACAGTCATCTTTCTGGGATGGTTTAGATGGTGTGGGGTGAGGGGTTGGGAATGGCGATGTTCCTCAGCTGTGGATGAGCATGATCATAAGGCATTTCCTTGTAAGGCTGGGGAAATAGTAGTGGCTACCTAGCTAGATCAGGTTTAAATGCATGCCACAGTTACTCTTCCAGTTTCTTGTGAGAGGTCTCTGTTTGAAAGATAGAGACGCTGAGTCTTTGTGACTGAAGGCCATGATTGTAATATTGAGCACTCTGTAGGTCTGTTGAGGGGATTCATAACATACATTGAAGAAAATATTTTCCTTGCTCCTACTAGGTTACTCCCGCCATGATTCTTAGAAAGATTTGAGTCTATCCAATTTTTTCTATTCCTACTCTTTTTGCTTGTCATTTTTATATGTGCTTACGTGACACAGAGAGCAAGCATGCTGTGCTTTGTACATAAAAACATTCCATGAACACAATAAGGCATTGAGTGCATTTCCTATCCTATTTTCTATAAAGGTTTACTGGTTTCAAAGTAATTTCAGACTCCACTGATCCCATTCAAAGCCTTTGATTCTTACTTGGGAGGTATCTCTCACTCAGGAAACTGAGGCTCAGAAAGTTGATGGAGTTAGTGCAGGATTACCTGACCTAGAAGTGGTGGAGTTGGCACCAGAAGGAAGTTCTTTGGACACCACATCCTGTGTTTGTTTCTACTCCCAAACTGCCTTGTGGTATGGAGTTTGAGTCATCTATATTTTCTCACCCAAGTCCTCTTTTGACTAACTGCAGACCTGTGTGAGATGGGCTTACCCAAGTCAGACATGCACTTTCTGGGCACAGAAGCCAATTGGGCCACATAGCAAGTAGAAGTTAGGGCTGGGTGATTGATTGATTGGTATCCCACATGGAAAGATTTGAAGCAACTAATTTGCTCTAATATAAACTGCTACTTACTGTGCACTGATGCCAGATGTTGAGCTCATCACACCTTATTTTGCTGAATTCTCATATCATTGGGAGATGCAGGTTTAGGTAATAGTTTTGTACTGCCAAGGAAGCTGCTTATCTGACTTCACAAAGTTATATAACTCGGAAATAGTAGAACCAGATTTCAGACTCAGGTCTTCTGCCCCCAAAGTCGCTGATTTAACTACTATCCAGTGATTTCCAAGCCAAGTTGTAAGGACATTCCAGGCAGAAATAGCCATACCTGTAAATGCTATAGAAACATGAACCAGCAAAGCAAGAGAGGAGTTGCAATGGCTAGAATTGTGTAACTTGCCTTCAGCCACGTAGCCATGGTGGCAGAGCTAGGATTTGAATTCAAGTCTTTGTGACTCATTGTCATGAGGCCATACTGCCTGTCAGGAAATGGGTTTGGTCCTCACACTGTAAGTCTAGATAGATCAGTGTGGTGAAGGCATCTGGGTATTCACTTGGTACTGTGGGTCAAGGTACTACCAGCAGTCACAGATGGGTCAGCAGCAAGTGTTCTCTAGATCACATGTCCTTTCCACAGGATGAGTCTCTTGGGCAACAGGAAATTATCTGATGACAGAGGTGAGCAGTATGGTATAATGGAAAGAAAATAGACACTGAGTTTGAATTCTGGCTCTGCAATCTACTGGCTGTGTGACAAGTGCAAGTTCCTTAACCTCTCTGTGCCTGCTGTTCACCCTTTCCCTCGCCAATCATCCACTTCTTTTATTTTGTTTTATTTTTTTTGAGATGGAGTCTCATTCTGTCGCCCAGGCTGGAGTACAGTTGCATGGTCTTGGGTCACTGCAACCTTTGCCTCCTGGGTTGAAGCAGTTCTCCTGCCTCAGCCTCCCTAGTATTTGGGACTACA
This sequence comes from Homo sapiens, assembly GCF_000001405.40. NCBI lineage: Eukaryota > Metazoa > Chordata > Mammalia > Primates > Hominidae > Homo > Homo sapiens. Next base: position 59,334,285 of record NC_000001.11, read on the forward strand.
GGCACATGGCACCACACCTGGCTAGTTTTTGTATTTTTTAGTAGAGATGGGGTTTCATCGTGTTGGCCAGGCTGGTCTCAAACTCCTGACCTCAAGTGATCTTCCCGTCTTGGCCTCCCAAAGTGTTGGGATTACAGGCGTGAGCCATTGCACCCGGCCCCCACTTGTTTTTCATGAAAAACTAATATTAAATGTTTCTTTTGGAGGGCTTTGTAAGGATTAAATAATATGTATGTCAAACATATGGCACATAGTAGATGTTCAATATATGGCAATGCTTTATTAATATGACTTGAAAAAAATTACTGCTTTTCTTTTTTGGACATTTCTCATAATTATGTGAAGCTCTTGTTTGAGGAACATGTTAAATAGTAAGAAATGGAATTCTAAATTATAAATCTGGTATTTCCAAACAGGAAAAAAATAATTATATATTTTAAGGTGAATTTCACTAAATGAGGATGGACATTTTTGAGTTGACTTTTATGGGATTTAAAAGGTTGTAGTCATGTTTTAAGTTAATAGAAACTGGTCGCTCATGCTTTTTCTATAAAGGAAACCATAGAAACAAAAATAAAAAATAGAATTAATCGATAAATCTATTATTCTACAACTTTAAAAATTATACAAACAAGTGTAAAATCTATATCCTCCTCCTGCAGTTCCACCCTCAGGAGCAACCACTATTAACAATTTGTTGCATATTCTTTTTTTTAAAACCTTACTAATATATCATGGATGTCTTTCCATTTTATCTTTCATAGCTCAACTCGTTTTAAAAGTATTTAACAGCTTGATGTATGATTTATATATCATAAAATCCAGCCATTGTAAATGTATAATGCTGTTATTTTGTAAATTTATACAGTGGTGCAATCATCACCTACTCCAGTTTTAGAACACTTATTACTCCAAAAGTTTCCTTACACCTGTTTGCAGTCAACCCCAAGCCCCAGTCAGAGGCGCTTTCTGTCTTTATAGGTGTTCTTTTTAGAAATTTTATATAAATAGAATCACATAGCGTGCTTTCTTTTATATCTGGCTCTTTTCACTTAGCATAATGTTTTTAAGGATCATCCATGTTGTTACATATATCAGTAGTTCCTTTTTCTTGCTGAGTAGTATTCTGTTATATGGATATACAATACTTTATTTAACAGTTGGTTAAACTATGATGGATATTTGGTTGGTTTTCAGCTTGGGAATATCAATAATGCTGCTATGAATATTCACATACAATTCTTTGTGTTGATGTATGTTTTTATTTTATTTTATTTGGTTTGTTAATATTTTGTATTGAAGTTGCCGGGTTGTGTGGTAAGATGTGGCTGTATTTTACATTTCCATCAGCAATGTATAAGGGCATCACTTTCTCCACAATTCTCTAACACTTGGTATTGTCAGTCTTTGTGATAATATTCTAGTAAGTGTGCAGTAGTATCTTATTGTGATTTTAATTTGCATTTCCTTAGTGACTAATGATTTGAGCACTTTTTCATGTGTACATTGGCCATTTGTATATTTTCTTTGCAGAAGTGTCCACATCTTTTGCCAATGTTATCATTGGGTTGTTTTTCCTCTTATTATTTGAGTTTTAAAATATATTTTATATGCAAGTATATTATCAGATGTGTTGTTTGCAAATATTTTCTTCCAGTCTGTAGCTTGTCTTTTCGTTTTCTAATTGTTTCTTTTGAAGAAAAAGATTTTTAAATTTTGATGAAGTCAAAATTTTTTCTTTTGTGGGTCTTGCTTGCTTTTTATAAAATCTTCATCTAATGCAAGGTTGCAACAATGTTCTCCTGTTTTCTTCTACACATTTTATATTTTTAGTCTTACATTTAGGGATGTGATATGTTTTGAGTTAAGTTTTGTGTATGGTGTGAGGTAAGAGTCTAAGTTCTTTTTTGCATATAGTCATATAGTTCTAGCATCACTGTCAAATAGTCTGTCCTTTCCCCCATTAAATTATATAGGCACATTTACCAAAGCCAATTGCCATAAATGGGTTTACTTCTTATATCTCTGTTCTATTGATTTATAAATTTATCCTTATACCAATACCACATAAACTTAGGAATGCTAGTTTTATAGTAAGTTTTGAAGTCAGATAGCATATATTTTCCAAGTTCTTTCTATTCAATTTTGTCAGTTTCTACAAATAAGTAGATAAATAAATAAATAAAACCTGCTAGTTTTTTTTTTTTTTCACTTTAAGTTTTGGGATACATGTGCAGAAAGTGCAGGTTTGTTACATAGGTATACATGTGCCATGGTGGTTTGTTGCACCCATCAACCCATCATCTAGGTTTTAAGCCCCACATGCATTAGGTATTTGTCCAATGCTCTCCCTCCCCTTGCCCCGCACCCCCTGACAGGCCCCAGTGTGTGATGTTGCCCTCCCTGTGTCCATGTGTTCTCATTGTTCAACTCCCACTTATGAGTGAGAACATGCGGTGTTAGAAAACCTGCTAGGATTTTAATGGAGTTGTGGAGAATCTGTAGGTTAATTTGAAGAGATTACCATCTGAACAATGTTGAATTTTCCATTTTACGAGTGTGACATATTTCTCCAATTTTTAGCTCTTCATAGCAATGTTTGGTAGTTGTCAGAGTATAGGTCTTGAACTTCTTGTGATATGTTAATTCCTGAATGTATTTGTCAGGTTTCTCCAGAGGGACAAGGCCAGTAGGAAATATATATGTATATGTACATGTATGTATATGTATATATTCATATATATATATTTATATGTATATAGTCATATATATATATATATATATGAAAGAAAGTTTGTTAGGGAGAATTGGATCACATGATTAAAAATGTGAAGTTCCACAATAGGTCATCCGTAAGCTAGGGAATGCCAGTAGTGTGGCTCAGTTCAAGTCCAAAAGCCTTGAAACCAGGGAAGCCGACAATGCAGTCCTGAATAAGTCTGAGGGTGAAGGCCTGAGAGCCCCAGGCAGGCTGCTAGTGCAAGACCTAGAGTCCAAAGGAAGATGAACCTGGAGTCTGATGTCTAAGGGCAGGAGGAGAAAAGGTGCCTCACTGCAAAAGGGAGAGAGGGAGGAAGGTAAGCAATCTGAGTATCCCCCTTGTTCCACCTGCTTTGTTCTAATCACACCCATTACTGATTAGATGGTGCCCACTCACATCAAGGGTGGCTCTTCCTCTCCCAGTCCACTGACTCCACATGTCAATCTCCTCTGGAAACACCCTCACAGACACACCCAGAAACAGTGCTTCACTAACCAGCTAGGCATCCCTCAATCCAGTCCAGTTGATATCTAATATTGAGCATCACACTGAGTATTTCACTTTTTGATGCTATTGTGAATGGGATTATTTTCTTAATTTTATTTTTTATCTTTTAGTTGCTATTAAGTAGAAATCCAGTTGATATTTATATGTTAGTCTTGCATCCTCTCATCTTACTAAAATTGCTTATTAGTTCTAGTAATTTTTTTAGCTTGTAGATTCTTTAGGATTTTCTGCATATGAGATCATGTCATCTGCAAAGAAAGACACTTTAACTTCTTTTCTAATCTGTATGCTTTTAATTTACTTTTCTCACTTTATTGCAATGGCTAGAAGCTCAAGTATAAGGTTGAATAGAAGTGGTAAAAGTGAACATCCTTGCTTCATTTCTGATGGGGGAAAGCATTCATGTTACCATTAAGTATGATGTTAGCTGTAGGTTTTTGTAGATGCTCCTTATCAGGTTGTAGAAGTTCTCTTCTATGTCTGGTTTATTGAATGTTATATTTGGAGGGTAGGGGTTCTTTTTTCTGCATCTGTTGAGATGATCATTTGGTGTTTGTACTTTGTTCTGTTAATGTGCGTATTCCATTAATTAATTTATGGATATTAAACCACTCTTGCATTCCTGGGATGACTCCACATAGTCATGGTATATAAAGGAAAGTTTTACATGCTGGAAGATTTCGTTTGTTAATATTTTGTTAAGGATTTTTACTATGTTCATGATAAATATTAGTCTGTAGTGTCCTTTTCTTATGTATTTGCTTGACTTTGGTATCAGGGTAATACTGGCTATGTAATATTTGTTGGAAAGTGTTCCCTTCTTCACTGTATTTTAGACAAGTTTGTGTAGCATTGGTACCATCTCTTCCTTAAATGTTTGATAAAATTTCCCAGTGAAGCATTTGGACCTGTAGTTTTTTTATTTTTTGTGGGAATGTTTTAAGCACAAATTTGATTTTTCAAAAAAAAAGTGCTTCTCAATTTTTCACATGGCTTTGGCCAATTTCCATAACCCCAAAATGGTGGTTTTTGATAGTTTTGTCCAGTTTATTAGTTTTATTTTGCTAAGAGGATTTTTTGACTTCACACCGCCACACCCAGCAGTTGCCTCTCTACCTCTTTTTAAAAAAAATCTGTATAGTATTTCATTTTACAAACATGCCATAATTTATTTAATAAAAATAGTTTTTTCACTTTTAAAATATAGTCTGAGCAGTGCTGAAGCTAACCTTCTTCTATATATAACTTTACTTACTTTTGCTAATAAGATACGTGCATTTTTAATTTTAATAAATGTCAAATTATTCTCCAAAGTTTGTTGTCATTAATTATATTGTTAGAATAATCTCCAAGAAGGTCCACTTCTGCATATATTGCCACTACCATATACAGGTTAAGCAACCCTACTCTGAAACTAAAATGCACCATAATTCAAAACTTTTTGAGTGGCATTGTGACGCCACACATGGATGTCTAAGATAGTAACATTTTTGTTTTCTGATGATTCAGTGTACATAAACTTTGTTTCATGCACAAAATCATTAAAAATATTGTATAAAATTACCTTCAGGCTATGTGTGTAAGGTATATATGAAACATATATGAATTTTGTGTTTAGACTTGGGTTTCATCCTCAAGATATCTCATTATGTTATATACAAATATTCCAAAATCTGAAAAATTCTGAAATCTGAAATGCTTTTGATCACAAGCATTTCAGGTAAGTAATAACAGCCTGTAGTATTAATCTTTTATATTTTTGCCAATATGAAAAGCAAACAGTTTGATATCTTTTTGTTTGTACTTATCTAATTGGAGGTGGGAATCTTCTCATATGCTCTTTGACCATTTCTTTTTATTTTATGAGGTGACTTTTTATTCCTTTGCTTAATTTCCAATTATTTTTAATTATTATTATTATTTTTTTTTGAGATGGAGTTTCGCTCTTGTTGCCCAGGCTGGAGTACAATGGCGTGATCTCGGCTCACTGTAACCTCCGTCTCCCAGGTTCAAGCAATTCTCCTGCCTCAGCCTCCTGAGTAGCTGGGATTACAGGCACACACCACCATGCCTGGCTAATTTTCGTATTTTTAGTAGAGACAGGGTTTCACTGTGTTGGCCAGGCTGGTCTTGAACTCCTGACCTTGTGATCTACCCACTTCGGCCTCCCAAAGTGCTGGGATTACAGGTGTGAGCTGCCATGCCTGGCCTTAATTTCCAGTTAGTTTGGTTCTTTTTTTCTTATTTATAGGATCTTTTGGGATTATAGTGATACTAAATTTTTATCTGTTTTATGTTGTAAAGATTTTTTTCTATTCTGTCATTCCTTCCTTCTAGTTGTAACTGTTTTCAATCTTTAAAGACCCTGGTGTTGTAATTTATGTTTTTATTTGTTTTTAAAACAGAAAGTTGTACAAGGGATTGATTTAAACCAAATTCGAGGACTTGGGTTTGATGCCACGTGTTCTCTGGTTGTTTTGGATAAGCAGTTTCACCCATTACCAGTCAACCAGGAAGGTAAGACCATGTCTCTTCCTTTTCCCAGTGGTGGGATACTTGGCTGATTAATCCAATGGGCCCAGGTGGAACAGGAGGGCAGGCGTCTCTTGCTGCTGATAGTAAAATTTAGAGGTAGAGTGAAGTGACACAGATCATGTTGCAGAAGTCAAGAGCTTGGAGAGCAGTTGGTATGAGTGGGGTGGTGTTGACGCTGGATTAGGGGGACTAGGCTTTCTAAAACTCAGGAGCCACAGTGCAGAGCTTGGTAAAGGAAGGATATGAGATTGTTAGCTAGGAGTGATTAACCTTGAAACACACAGGTGGTTTTGATGTTTTCTGAGAAGAGAGTGTCAGTGCTTGCAGTTTCTTTGTATACGATATTCCTATTCCGTGCTTATCTGAGTGGATGAGCCAAGTCCTTTGAAAGGAAATGGAACATGGTAGACAGGGCCATGTGACAGATAGAAGGTAGAAGCAGATGGCCTCTCTATTTTCAGTAGCCAGACCAAAAGACATTCACATTAAATGGTGTTGTCCTAATAGACACTTGTGAGTACAGAAATGAGCTGTTTGAAATGTAAAGTGCTACTTGGGTCCACCATCAGAGATTTTTCACAGCAGATAAGGTTGTCCCTTTTGGGGAATTTTAGCCAATAACGTTTGTACTGGGGTTACAAACCCGAAAGTCTATTAATATATTAATGTAATAATTAATACATTAGTCAGATGGGTAATGTAAATGAGTAATAGGCCAGGTTTGAGAAAAACCACTGCACCTGTGTGAAGATAAATTTCAACTGATATTTAACCTTGTAATGAGCAGATGACATTAGGGAGCAGTGGAGGCTGCATTGCACTGGAAATTGCATGCTCCATCTGAAGGGAAGGGCCAGCTCTAGGCATTGTCAGTCAGCTGTTGCCAAGATAGCCATTGCAAACATATTTGGGGCTAGATTCTGTTAGAGAACCCTTGATTCTGCACACTGTTGCAGCAGCATCTTTCTTAACTGTTGGCTATGAGGTAGTAGGGTACATTGATACACAGTGGAATTAGAGTTAGGCGGGGACTCTGATTGTAGCTCTGCTGTTGCTGAGCTGTGACACCTTGGGCAAGCCACTTAACTCTGTGTTTCTCAGTTTTCTTCTCTGAAAGAATTTGAATGAATCAGTAGCTTTGCTGTGAGAATTTAGTGAGAGACTGATACTTAAAATGCTCAGAAAAGTTTCTTCCATCAGATGATGAATTTTTTAAGTTAAGAGAATATTCCGGTCACTACTGTGGACCTAATGTATGAAATAGTGATTATTATAATTATAAGGACTATAAATGATCATCTATTTGCATCCCTTTTCACTATAAGTGATCACTATAAATAATCATAATCACTATGTGCTGAAAATGGATGCAAATAGATGAATGATTAGAGCACAGTGGTAATGATGACCATTTTCTGCACAGACACACACACTTTTTTCCCTCTTCTTGCGACATTTATTAACACCTCCTGTGTTCCAAGCCCTGTCTTAGCAAATGCTGGGGCTTCAAAGATAAATCAGGACGGTTCTTTTTCTTGGTGGCTGTTCATTGGCTCAGTTGGCACTGTTCTGGCCCAGGACAGGGCAGCCTTGTTCTGAGCCATTTCAGAAAGCAGAGACCAAACCTGGGTAGAGCAAACCTCAGCTCTGCAGCAGCAAGCATTCACTAATTACAAGATGTGGCCAGCCACAGACCTGGCCGTTTTGGGAGGCTGTCAGTATATCTTTTATGGGCTTTATTTAAGTAAAGGTCAGGTGATTGTTTGGGATGCCATAGATCAGATGTCTCTTACTGTTGATAGTGAGATTTAGAGGCAGAGTGTGGAGGCTAGAAATCACCGTCCCAGAAGTTAAAAGCCTGGAGAGCAATTGGCACGAGTGGGGTGGTGTTGGGGGCAGAGTTAGAGGGAACTTGGTTCCATAAAGCACAAGAGCCATGTTAGAGAGCCTGATTTTGGGTGGAACTTTAGATACTAAGAGTCCTGTTTCAAGGATTTTGTATCATCTGATCTGCTAAAATACATGTTTACTTATTTATTTTTATTCTGGCTGTGCATTAGTATCAACTGGAGATCTTTTTAAAAATTGCCAATTCATGAGCCCTACCCTCAGGATTTGTATTCACTTGACTTGAGGTGGAGCTAGGGTGTCAACTTTTTAAAAAAGTTTTCTCAGTAAGTCTAGTATGTAGAGAATCACTGGGGACAGATTAACGGAGAATTAAAATATTAGGAACAGAACACTTGAAGTGGAAGAAGACAGTTCCTTGTTAAATTTGCTTAAATATGTACCCTCTTTGGATGCTATTTTTCTTTCATTGTAGGTAGAATGGCTTCCTGTTAACAAATCCTCTATTAAAAAGGTAACTAGGTTATCACTCTAATTATAAGTGTTGAAATAACTTTATTCCACCTAAAAGGTTAAAGTGTACCCATTCATCAAATGCATCCAGCTGCAGGTGCCCTCATCAGTTTCTTGCCTTTCAACAGATTGTATTAAGGTTAGATCTTTTATCTGAAATGAATTATCCTGTGCAAGAAAATGAAATTAGAATTATAAAGGTGGTTTGAAGGTTCTTTAGAGACTCCTACCTGCATGGCAGCGACCAACTCTTGATTGGCTAATGGGAGTAATTGTGAGGAGCAGAGAGTGGGGTCAGGAAGATTCCAGATAACCCTAATCATGCAGATAACCTAAAACCAAACCCATAAGACCAGCAAAAGTATTGCCGTCTTTAGATGTTAACCAAAAAATTATAAACGAATAAATTAAGTACAATAGTTTAAGAAAATTCAGCATTAGTCTATGATAAAATAGTCTCATTTGCCTTTCCTTGTTTGACTCTTCTTCCTTAAAGATCAGAACAACCCCTGGGCTGGACAGCAGCACAGTTGCTGAATGCTTCCTACCCCTGCCACTGACCAAACTCAGAGCCTTACCCTGATTGTGTCATCTCAGCCATAGGAGCTCTTGGGAGGGAGAGGAACAAAGGGTGATAATTGGGGCTGGGAGAGGGAGTTATGACCTAGTCTCCTCTGTGCAACAGATACCTAATGTTTAGATTTTTTTGCTGATTCATAATATTTTTTCCCCTCAAGTATGCCTGCAACACATTCTGTGAACATAAACATGTATTTTAGCAAGGTATTAATTAAGTGAATATATGGATGAATAATCTACCCTTAGGTAAAGTGAGGTAGCTCAAATGTAACTTTACCTCCAATTCTCTTAAACGACAACATTTTTGTGGGTCTGTGTTCTGTTTCCCATGCTGCCTTATTGTATAGAACCTCTTTCTCACTCTTTCCTCACCTGCCTAGCCATTGGCTAGTCATTTGAAGAATTAAATAAACACTTTCCTGCCTTTTGAAAGCTTTCTGTGCAGCTCCAGGCTCAGCTAACTAGAGCCTGCTCTTTGCTCCTCCTCCACATTCCCATGTCTGGTACTCTTGTTCTGGCAGTCAACACACAGTATAGACTCTTTCTCCTGCAGACATATGTTGCTTAAGGGCAGAACTGTGGCACATTCTTCTTGATATCCTAGCATCCAACACTGTGCTTGGCATGTAGTAGATGCTCAATAAAAGATTAAATGAACTTTCAGTTTTCCATAAGAGCTGAAAAAAATTAACTTCTCAGTTTTTATCTAAAACGAAAATTATTAATTCTAATACAGTAATGATTCTGTACAATTTTCATTGTATTGTTCTGACTGCATTTTGAGAGCATCTTTATGTAGAGGCAGTAGTAGCTGATTGGTCTGTCTTTACTATAGGCAGAAGTTTAGCAACAGGTATTTTTACCTTAAAGTAGCTGTAGATTTGTTCTGTACAGTACTTAAGAAACAATACTGATATTGTCCCCTTCAACACTCACCCACCCACACATACACCCACATCCTGATTCATTGATGGTTGTGGAATAGGAGCTGGACATCAGTATTTTTAAAAGTTATCAAGGCGACGCTAATGTGCAACTAGGTTTGAGAACTAGAGCTTTGAGCACTTCTGTTAGATAGAGGAACAATTCTGTTTACAAAAAATTCTTTGACATTCCTGTGGAAGGTCCCATGTACTCTGTATTATTTTCAAAGTATTAGTATAATGGTTTGTGGAGCTTTTGTGGGAGGTGATATCTTTCCAGTTAGGCAACTGAGCCCCTGCCTTGTTATGCCCATGACCTTATTTAGGTATCTTCTTACATTGGCTTTTTTTGTTGTTTTTTTTTTTGGTTTTAATTTTAAACATTCTTTTCAAAGATGTGGAAGGGTAAAGAAAGCAACATCTTCCTATTCGCCTACCACTGAGGATAAACATGAAATTTTGCCATATTTGCCTCAGCTCCTTTTATTTTAAAAAAAGATATTTGTAACTTCAGCTTTTCACCTCCTGCAGGTAACCATTCTGCTGTAGTTGCTGTTCTTAAACACATTGTTTTTGTGCTTTTACTACATATGTGTATACCCACAACAACAAACAGTATACAATCCTTCCTCTGTATCTGAGGGGTACTTGTTCCAGGACCTCCTTAAGACCATAACCCACAGATACTCAAGTCCCTGATGTAAAATGGCATCGTATTTGCGTATAACCTATGTACGTCTTCCCATGTACTTCAGATAATCTCTAGGTTACTTATAATACCTAATGTTAGGTAAATACTTGTTATACTATATTGTTTAGGGAATAATGGCAAGTAAAAAAGTCTGTACACATTCAGTACAGATGCAACCATCCATTTAAAAAAATATATTTTCAATCCACGGTTGGTTGAATCCACAGATGCAGAACTCACAGACATGGAGGGCTGACTCTGTGTTTTAAAGTATCTCAGCTGGTGTCCTTGTTCATGTTACTATGTCTAACTCTAGTTTATTCATTTAAGAATTGATTTATCTGTTCTCTATGCAGATCTAGTTCCAAAATACACTTTGTGCATTTCCCAGCTGTGAGACATTGGGTACGTCTTCACTTTCAAGAGTCTGTCATTGAAAAACAGGGGTTAAAAACCTGTATCAGAGGGTTGTTTTGAGGATTAAATGTGATGATATGTGTAAAATGTTTAGCACAGGGCTTGGGAGACAAACACACATTACAAACATTTACTATTAGCAAGATATGTAGTGCTGCGGTTACTTTGCCATTAAATAAAATAATGTGTGAAAATATAATACCTGGTTTGGTAACTGCTGGGTTTCTTTTCTCTTTGCCCTAATAATCTCTCGGGTATATTAATTGCTGTTCTGCAACTTTTGCCATCAGAGGCATCAGAGGGCTGTTAAAGGATTTCTGGCTTGCCCATTGGTACAGGATGAATTAACAGAGGCTGGGGAGAGAGATAAGGAGTTACTGTGTGGACTACAGGGTGGTAAGGCAGGATATGAGGGGCAGTGCTCCTTTTCCAGCTGGTTTTAAATTCTCCTCCTTATGATTTTCTCCTCCTGAGGGCCTACTTTCTGAGAAGTACTTGCCATATCCTTTATGTGCATTATCTTTTGTTTAAAAACTTCCTGAATTATACATCTTCATCTGTAACTGTATCTTCATCTGTAACTAGCATTCCCTGTTAGATCTGCCTAATTCCAAAACCCATGAGCTTCCCACGCCAGCAAACAAGCCAACCAAATGAGGAAAAAAAAAAACACCTACATAAACTAATTTTAATTAAAGTGACCAGAAAAAGTGGGAATATAAGCAGTTAAATGCCATTGTTTAGCTATTAGATGTATTATACCGTCAAAGTATTTATCCATATTTAAAGGAGACAGATCTTAGAAAGTATTGTCTTAGTCTTATTTCATAGACACCTTTCCTGAATGTATGCCCAGAAAAGTTTTTCTAGAACAGAAGGGATAAGAAAGGAAGGGAAGAATTTGAGAGAGAATACTTGATAATATAATTAATTGGTAGATGTTTTCTGCTTTTAATGTAGACATTTATTCTAAGGTCATGGTCAGAGAACACATGACTGGACGGGAAATTCCAGGCCTGGGGACAGTGCTTTCCTCAGCCTTGCTGGTGTCCTTTCATTTTGCACACTCTTGATACATAAAATTATAGAAAGTACATAGCATTTTGATCTTGGGAATCCATAATTGTTCCCTTGAATTAGAAGGAAGAGAATGTGTGTCCATCTGCATCTCCCTCTCGTTTCTGCTAGGGGATTCCCATCGAAACGTCATCATGTGGCTGGACCATCGAGCAGTCAGTCAAGTTAACAGGATCAATGAGACCAAGCACAGTGTCCTCCAGTACGTCGGGGGGGTGATGTCTGTGGAAATGCAGGCCCCGAAACTTCTGTGGCTGAAAGAGGTGAGTGCATAGGGTCTAAGAGAAGATACCAACAATAGTAGAGGATTCCTGTTACTGTGGACCTGTAGGTACCAGGCACCCTGCTAAAATCGGTTATGTTTGATTTTTCCCAGCAACTAGGAGGAAGGTTGATCCCATTTTATTGATTACAGTGTAGTTAAATCACACCTGTTTTTATGTGCCTAACTCATACTAGGCACTGTGACAAGTATTGTACACATTATCTCTTTGAAGGCCAACGACCCTATGAAGTGTTTGTGTGTGGTGTTTATTTTAGGGTGTCTGTTTTGTAGACAAGAAAACGAATGTTCATAGAGATAAAACAACTCACTCAAAGTGACAAAGTAAATATGTGACAGAACCAGAATTTGAACCTAAGACTGGCTGACTCCAAAATCATTTTTTTTTAATTTTAAAATGTTTCTTTTGTAGAGACTTGGTCTCACTATTTTGGCCAGGCTGATTTCGAACTCCTGGCCTTATGTGATCCTGCAAAAGTGATATGATTATAGGTGTGAACCACTGTGCCCGGCCATCCAAAATCAATTCTTTTTTTTTTTTTTTTTTTTTAAGTATCAATTTCTCTTTTAATCTTAGACGTCGTGGTGGAAGGAAAAATCAGTTAGCAAAGAAGCAATCTCAGAAAAAGTGTATCTTTTTGATGCCTTTATGCCTTTTTTTTCCTCTTTTTTTTTCGGTTATTCTTTATTATTATACTTTAAGTTTTAGGGTACATGTGCACAACGTGCAGGTTAGTTACATATGTATACGTGTGCCATGTTGGTGTGCTGCACCCATTAACTCGTCATTTAACATTAGGTATATCTTCTAATGCTATCCCTCCCCCCTCCCCCCACCCCACAACAGGCCCCGGTGTGTGATGTTCCCCTTCCTGTGTCCATGTGTTCTCATTGTTCTATTCCCACCTATGAGTGAGAACATGTGGTGTTTGGTTTTTTGTCCTTGTGATAGTTTGCTGAGAATGATGGTTTCCAGCTTCATGCATGTCCCTACAAAGGACGTGTGAACTCATCATTTTTTATGGCTGCATATTATTCCATGGTGTATATGTGCCACATTTTCTTAATCCAGTCTATCATTGTTGGACATTTGGGTTGGTTCCAAGTCTTTGCTGTTGTGAATAGTGCCACAATAAACATACATGTGCATGTGTCTTTATAGTAGCATGGTACTGGTACCAAAACAGATATATAGACCAGTGGAACAGAACAGAGCCCTCAGAAATAATGCCACATATCTACAACTATCTGATCTTTGACAAACCTGAGAAAAACAAGAAATGGGGAAAGGATTCCCTATTTAATAAATGGTGCTGGGAAAACTGGCTAGCCATATGGAGAAAACTGAAACTGGATCCCTTCCTTACACCTTATACAAAAATTAATTCAAGATGGATTAAAGACTTAAATGTTAGACCTAAAACCATAAAAACCCTAGAAGAAAACCTAGGCAGTACCATTCAGGACATAGGTATGGGCAAGGACTTCATGTCTAAAACACCAAAAGCAATGGCAACAAAAGCCAAAATTGACAAATGGGATCTCATTAAACTAAAGAGCTTCTGCACAGCAAAAGAAACTACCATCAGAGTGAACAGGCAACCTACAGAATGGGAGAAAATTTTTGCAATCTACTCATCTGACAAAGGGCTAATATCCAGAATCTACAATGAACTCAAACAAATTTACAAGAAAAAAACAACCCCATCAACAACTGGGCAAAGGATGTGAACAAAATCAATTCTTTTAATACCCAGTATTCTATTGGAGTTCAGAGAGGTTAATTACCGTTCCAATGAGAAAGCAGCCGAGGTGGGATTTAAGTCCATATCTTCTGACCAGAGCTTTGCTGTTCTGTACACTTTTAGCCCCAACTTATTAATATTTGGCCTTGTTGACATCTTAGGCTTTCCCTTTCTCATCCCACCTGCACTCGAGTTTCTCATCCTTAAATGATATGGCAATCTCTGGTCAAAGCACTTGCAGGTGGCTCCCATTTCCAGATGTTAGGACTTCTTTCTGAAGTGTGGAGAATGGTGATGTCAGCTTAATGGTTCCCATTAGAGATGGATGTGTGAGAAAGTTCAAGTCCTTTGGGAATCTCAAGGACTTGAAAACCTCTAGGTGGTCTGGAGAAGTAGAGAATCCATCTAATGAGCATGACCTGCTGTGATTCATTTACTGGCTCTGAGATTTCAGGTGGGCTGAGTCTTCTATTACTCAGATTGTAAATGGAGATGGGGAGAGCTTAGGTTGCTGAGAGGGTGCCTAAGGATTGCCATCACGGGGCAGGAGAGTGGTAGGAAAGAAGGGCTTCAGCAATCAAAGCAGGCTTGGCTTTTTAGCTATTTTATATATTGAGCTGTTTTGTAAGTTTTAATCTACATAAAGGCTTCTGTGGTTGCTAAGAGTTTGAAAACAGAGTTTCTTAGGAGTCAGGAGTTTTCAAGAATCTAATTCTGACTCTACTGTCAACAATTGTATGCTTTGGTCAAAGCACTTCTTATTTCAGGCCTCACTTTCTTCATGTATAAAGTGGGAGAGTTGTATTAACCAGTTTGAAAACCTGACTCGGGTATATACTGAAACACAAAATTGGAATATAGAACTGTTCTGCGCTGCCCGGTACCCTGCTTTGAGTTGTATAAGCATTAGTTGATTTTAATCCTAATGGTCTGTGCCTGGTAGATAGCACAGGAAACTGATCCTAAGGAGGTTTTCCCAAACAGGTGATAGAGCCAGAATTTAAATCCATGTCTGCTGGGCTCCAAATCTCAGCTTATTCCATCATGTCATGCAGTAGTAAAATCCCTCTGTGAAGCATGGCTCTTGGCGTAGGACCAGGAATGATGGCAGTGGTCTTCTTCAATTTGGCCTAAACTTGTTGCTATATCAACAAGTTTGGATTGGATATATCACCTTTTTTGGCAACACAGAAAGAAAAGTTATACTGAGTTAAGCAAAGAGGATTGGGCGGAGGGTCATTGGTTCAGTGTCAGGGCCTTCTAGAGCACTTGCCATGTGGCCAGCTCCAGCCTATATCCCAGGAGATCTAAATGCATATCTGGCACGAACCTCTCAGGATTCTTACCATCTCGCACTTGAGATAAAACTGCACTAAATAAATCCCATAGGAAATAGTTAAAGTCTAGATTACATGGCAGTGTTTGTGACCCTCTGAGAACATCTTATATTAATTTATTTTAAAAAATCAATTTTCTTTCAGAATTTTCTGAGTAAGCCTCTAGTGTGGGGTGTGTTTTGGTAAGCATGTACAGGAATTCTTGCTGAGAATTCCTTTGGCTTTAACATGATTGCAAAATCAAAATTAAAGAGATTTCTAAAGTCAGTTTTAGCATCTTCTTAAAGCCTGACCAGGAGGGCTATAGTGCTTCTCAGACTTCAATGTGTAAATGAATCACCTGGAGATCTTAGGTTCTGATTCAGTAGCTTTGGGATAGGGACTGAAAATTTGAGATTTTGTATTTCTAACTCAAGTTCACGGGTGATGCTAATATTAGTGGCCTGGGAACTTGTGAAACCACTTTTAATTCCAAAAGCTCTGCTCCCCTACCCTGAAAAGCATCCACTTTTGGGGAATCAGGGAATGGTACCTTTGTTTTTAATGCTATGATGGGAGACACAGGAAAGTTTGATAGCTTCAGTAGAGCTGCTCAAGTGCCCGTTCAGTATAAAAGCATGAGATTCTGTGTTCTAAGTTCATCAAGCTGTCATGTGTTTACTCCTTCTTCATTCTTTAATTCTTGGAAGTCTGTACTGAGCTCAACTATGAACCAGCAACTGTGATAGGCACTGGGGAACTGGGGACAATAAGGACTCAACCTTACCATTGAGCAGCACACAGTCCACTAGGGATAGTGGTAGGGGAGCATAAGGAATGGGGTGGATGCAGGAGTGACATGAAAACAGAGCCATCAAATGTACTATGCACTGTGATATAGCAATATACAAAGTGCTTTGGGAAAAAGGATTTGCTTCCCAGAGGCAATAGTTTGACAGGAGCCTCAAGATATGAGTAGAGGTTTTGCCTAGCAGAGAAGATAGGAAAGACATTCTGAAGAGAGACTGTGGTTCATCTGTGTTATGGTAGGTGAGTCCCAGGGCATGAGCTGGGGTGCTTCAGCAAGCATAGCAGGAGATGAGGCCAGGTAAATAGTCTGAGTTCGGCTTATTAAGGGCTTATTTGGTGATAGGGATTGGTTGATGGTTGTTAAGCAAGGGAGGGGCTGGCTTAGGTAACTGGCAGACATGTGGAGATTGGATTAGGGTGAGAAAATGTGTGTGGGGGAGTAAGAACTAGAGTTTTCTCATTCCCCTGATGATAGCACTCTGATGGCTTTGCATTGCTCTGTTAGATAAATTCCAGAAACTGAAACATGGACTAGAAAATGGTGCATGATGTCATTTTTACCTCTTCCTCTCTCGTCACTGTTTGTCTTTTACATCCTAGCTCACTATATCCCATCTACAGGAATCCACTTAGAGTTTTTTGTTACATGAGTCTTGGCTAGAGGTTGGCAGACTATGGCACCCAGGCCAAATCTGGCCTACTGCCTGTTATTGGATGGCTTGAGAAAATGTAAATGGTTTTACATTTTCAAGTGGTTAAGAAAGAATCAAAAGGATGATATTTTGTGACTTATGAAAATAATATGAAATTAAAATTTTAGTGGCCGTAAGTAAAGTTTGATTGGAACACAGCCACACTCATCCATTTATGTGTTGTTTATGTCTGTTTTCACACTACAGTGACAGCTGAGTAGTTGAGACAGAGACTATGTCGCCTACAGGGCAGAATATATATGTACCATCTGGACCAACAGATGAAAAGTTTGCCGACCCCTGGTCTTGACAATGCTGAGTCTTTCACCTACAGTGTTCTTCCCTCTACTCACTGCTGGTTCTTCCTCATCATTTAGGTTTCAGTTTTATTTTTGCTCTCTTGAAAAGCCTTTCCTGATCCTCAAATACATCAGAGTCTCTTGTTATTACACTCTTAATTTTACTTCATTATATCTTTCGTAAATTGTAATGCTACGTCAATTTTTGTGGTGATTTATATAATGCTTGCTCCAACCATTGTAATCTGCAGGAGGATAGAGATCATATCCACCTCGTTCTTTGCTATGTCTTGGTCCTTAACCAAATGGCTGGTGCACAGTAGGTGCTCAGTACATATTTTCTGAATAATTTGAATGACTCAATAACTCAATAAGGGGCTGTTACAGTACTCCATGGGAGAACTAATGAGACCTGAATGAGGCACTGTGAGATGGCAGGAGATGGGTCCTAGAAATTTTTAGAGGATAATATCAATAGAACATTGACACTGATTGGCTGTGAGGAGTGAGTCAGATGGAGGAGCCAGAGCTGACCACTCACTTCGTTATTGCTGTCATTTATCTTCTCCTTGTCCTTAGCCTAGAGTCAGATGTCAGAGGAAGTTGGGCAGAATTTGGGGTTTTATCTGTCTTGAGATGTTCTAGGACCACCATAGCTCTTGAACAAAGTCACCTGGATCCTAGTCCTGCAAATATGGAATTTAATCATGTCCTTTTCATTTAAAGTTTATGTGTTTCAGGTTGACATTTGTCTCCTTAATAAGAATTGTCAGATGAAAGGAAAAATGCCATTTGAATTTTTCATAACCCCCAGCAGTCTGGCTTTTCCATTTGGTCTCAATGATTCTGACTCTCATCTTAATGAAGGCCAAATGTAAATTAAGTTCTGTCAGGCTTGAGCAGCTGGGGTCTCCTATCTTTATAAACATGAAACATTGTAGGGTTAACAAGGTGCAGACTGAGGAAGGTCAAGAGAGTTGCTGAGCTGATGTGGATCCTGACAGCTCAATGTTAATGGGAGGTAATTAACGTGGCTTGTAGGGGCTACATGGAGATCTTCCAAGCTGTCTTTTAACTCATTTCCTCTTTTGCCATTGTCAGCAGAGCAGAAAGCTAATCATTTTATAGTTTGAGATTTTTCTTGCTTATTCCAAAGTTCTGGAACCAACTGTCTGGAATGTCACAGGATTTTGTTGATGGATTCAGGAAATATACCTGCTGCTTCTCTCTCCCCTGTCTGTGCCCCTGTGCTTCTGTCCTCCTGATAACATACTGGGAAAATGAGGAAATGATTCTCCAATTGGTAGATTCTTTGGGGGGAACCTGGGGGTTTGGATGGCTAGAGAGGTGGTTTGATAACTTCCTGCTAGCTGTGGAAGCTGTCACTTGAGTGCTTTGCAGTAGGAACTGCTGAAAAGAAAACCCTGCTGCAGGTCAGGGAAGCTTGGTTCTTCTAGTTCTTTCTGTAACTTGAGAGGCTGGACGAAGCTAATTTTTAAAACCTTATTTGGCCTTATTTTGTCACTCTTGTTGATGACATAATAACACCTTTTCTCTATCTTAAACCTTAGTCTAATCTTGAAACTTCATGAAAGATAGACAATATAAGTTTCTTTCCTTGAAATGCCATCATTTAAATAGATGGCAGTATGGTGGAAACTAGTCTTTCTTAGTTAGTTACTGTCTAATTACTATTCAACTGTGTTCATCAGGTCTTAATAGTAGCACTAATACAAGATATTGAGGAACTTTGGGAGATATAACACAAATCTATACAGAAAAGTACAGGATTTGGAGCCAAACTTGCATTTAAATTTTTCTGTACCACTTACCAATTGTGGGATCTTGGACAAGCTAAAATCAACTTCTCTGAGTCTCAGTGTGCTGAGCTATAAAATGAGGACAATAGTATCAGTCTTGTAGAGTTATGAGTTAGTGAGGTATTTGTAAAGTGGCTTATATAGTAGATACTCAAATGGTACTTTATTTTCATTATCATTGTGTTTAAAAGTGCTTGTTTCTACTGATGGGCATTTCAGTAACATCCTATCACTAACTGAGATAATTTTAAAGACTAAAATATCCTATTTCATGGGGCTGGCCATAATGAGTGATATGTTTTTTCCTGTTTTATTAAGGAAAATTCTAGAAACCATCATCAAAGTTTCTAGAGACAATCATAGAAAATAGAGAATAGAAGAGCACAGAACATATTTTCAGTCATTCATTTATTTGAATCACCCACATCCTATGTGTAATACCAATTCCAAAGGCAGCCAACTTCGAGCTGTAAAGCTGATTAACTTACTTGAGTACCTTCTACTTGTTTCCCTTGACATTTACCAGTGCCGCCAGTCTCAGAATGTTTTTACTTCACAAGAGTTATTTTATTTAATCTTTACAGCAGTCTGTGGGACAGATATTATCTCTTTTTATATTACCAGATGAGGAAACTGAAGCTCAAAAAAGTTAAATAACTTACTCGTGGTCTCATACTATGTAAGCAAACCCATGTCAAGAGCCACACCATTAGCTCTGTTCCCTCATCTGCTACCTTATGGGAACCTGTGCACTTTCAGTGTGGGAATCCAGAAGTGGTCTCTGCCACCAAGAAATTACAGTCTAGTTAAAGAATAAAGATACAGAGCAACCAAGCAGTAAGAGCAGAACAAGAAAATAGATGAAAATAAGAGCTAAAGCGTATGTAGTGCTTGTTAATACATCTGGTACTTTTCTAAGCATTTTACCCATGATAATTCATTTATTTCTCACAGCTACCCTATAATTATTGTATTTTTCTTTTCTTTTCTTTTTTTTGAGAGGGTCTTGCTCTGTCACCCAGGTTGGAGTACAGTAGCACAGTCTTGGCTCATTGGAACCTTTGCCTCCCAGGCTTGAGCGGCTCTCCCACCCCAGCCTCCTGAGTAACTGGGACTACAGGCACACACCACCATGCCCAGATAATTTGTGTATTTTTTTGTAGAGATGAGGTTTTACCATGTTGCCCAGGCTGGTCTCAAACTCCTGAGTTCAAGTGATCCACCCACCTCGGCCTCCCAGAGTGCTGGGATTACAGGTGTGAGCCACTGTGCCCAGCCTAATTATTGTCTTTTACAGATGAGGAAACAGGCACAGAGACTTTAAGCAACTTGCCCAAGGTCACTCAGCTAATAAGTGGCAAGGCTGGGATTTGAACTTTGGCATTTCACATCCAGAGTACGGGCTTATCACCATTTTGCTCTACTGCCTCTTTCAGCGTTTGCTTTGCAGGCTTTGCATAAACTAGTTTAGGGAAGAAATTTGTGGGTGATGGCTTCGGGAGGATCTGAGGCTGTGAACAATGGTCAGTAGCTTCATTGTTTCATTTAAGAAATACTGAGTGTCTCCTGTGTGAGAGGCACTTTGCTGGGCGCTGGAGATGCCAAGGTGAATGAGTGGGATAAGGGCCCTGGGGTAGGCTTCTGGGAACTTAGAGTCTAGTGTAGAGAGGCAGAAAATAGACACACACAAAGTAATTTTGTTTTCTGGAAAATGCTACGAAGGAAAAACACAGATGAACAGATTTGGCATAGCGAGTGTGGGCCTCTCTTGGGAGTTTTTGTTTGACCTGAATGATGAGATAGGAAGGAGGAGCAACAGATTCACTGTGGGGGAGGAAAGCACCTCATGAGATCAGCAAAGGAGGTCAGCTGGGCCAGGAGGGTATGAGCAAGGCACAGAGGCGTAGGAGGGGGTTTGGCGAAGTGGGCAAAGGCTGCTGCATGCAGCCTTGAGGCCAGGGGCAGGAGTTTGAGTTTTATTCCAAGATCAGTGGGAAATGGTTGATGGGCTTTAAACATGGGTGTGACACAGTATGTTTTATGACCTTAAAAAAATCATTCTGGCATATGTGCTAGGTAGATAGTAAATATTTGTATAGCAACAACAAACTTCATACTGTTTTTTTTTTATTATTATACTTTAAGTTTTAGGGTACATGTGCACAACGTGCAGGTTTGTTACATACTGTAATGTTAAAGGGAAGAAAAGTTAGAAGACTAATGAACAGTCTTATAAATACATTTGTTTAAAGAAACTATCAGTATGGAAAAAAAGACTGGCCATATACACACAAGAAAACATTAATACTGGTACACTGTTCATGGTTGGAAGAGTTTGCTACTGTTTTAGCACAATGCTCATGCTTTTATTACTTAGTAATTTTCCATTCAAAGCTTGTAGTCATAGCTAACCTTTCTGGTTGACAACACTTCATTATTGAGCAAGGGATTTTTTTTTTTTCTTTTTGGGCTTATTTTCCTAAAAAGCAACATGCTAGGGACTTCACAGGCAGAATTTTATCTCTGCCCTTTAGTGACACAGTGTAACAGCATGCTGTTTTACTGTATCTGTGTGGCAGTATGAGGAAACCAAGACTCAGAGGACTTAAGTAGCATCCCCAAAGCTACACAATAGTAGGTTGTAGAGCCCAGATTCTCACCTAGTCCAGTCTGCCTCCAGCTCCTGGGATCTAACTATTGCCTCTCACTGCCTGCTTTTAAAGGGCACTCATTTCTTCCCACTTGCCAGGGCTACAGGCTGGCAGACCACTGGCTGAATCTGGTCCCCAATCAGGTTTAGTTTGACCTACCATGTGCTTGGAAAAAAAAAATAAACAATTTTAAATTAGTTTCCAATATTTAAAAATTGAGAAATTTTATCTGAAAATTCAGATTATTTATTTTCCTGAATAAATAATGAAAGAACTTGGCAATACAGGGTCCACACTTCCATGCAGAAGGGAACGGCTGGAGCTGAATAGGGGCTGCCTTCTTTAGAAGGGGTCGGCATTCTTCATTTTGCAGCAGTC
This sequence comes from Homo sapiens, assembly GCF_000001405.40. Taxonomy (NCBI): domain Eukaryota; kingdom Metazoa; phylum Chordata; class Mammalia; order Primates; family Hominidae; genus Homo; species Homo sapiens. Next base: position 59,356,130 of record NC_000001.11, read on the forward strand.
CTCACCCAGCCTGCTACACTCATTTCCTTTTTCAGCCCTACCCCTCTGAGCACTTGAATTTGAGACTTAGGCTGTGGGAATTTGTTCAAGGAATCTGTCATTACTTTTCCTCTAGCAAGCGCTTAGAGAAATGGAAAGGCATTCCAGATGGCGAATTTCTTGGTCCAGGGCTCTCATGATTCCATGCCTGTATTCTCTCACACCTCTGGGTCTTTGCTCAGGTTTTTCCTTCTGCCTGGCAAACTTATAGTAATTTCTTCCTTCACCAGGAAAACTTATAATAATAGTTCAAAACCCAGCCTTCACTGCCTCCAGGAAGCCTTCCTTGACTTAGGGTCCTACACTCTGTCCCCTGTGGCATTCTATGCTTATCTCTACCCTAGAATTTATTGCATTACATTGTGCTGTATTTATCTCAGTGTCCCTAGCCTCCAGAGCAATGTTTAAATTCTAACATTAATAACTTATTATATATTTTGATGGGTGGATGAATGAGCGGATGAACTTATTAAATCATCTCATGCCATTTTTGATGGCTAGGTGCATTTGTCCAATCATTTCATTCCAAACTAAAGGTTCACTGTATGCCCAACATAAGTTAATTTTCTCTTCCTCATTGTGGAAAATGAGATTTGAGCATTACTGTTCCTTTCCATCCTAGAGCCACCCCTTGGCTGCAGTCCTGTTACCGGAGTCACAGCTTATTTTGTATGCAAAGTGAAGGCTCTAGACTGAGACAGTAACTCCTCTGGGCCTCTCCACTGTGTCTTTGGACTCCTGTGATGGATACCACTTTAAGTTGCTCCCTTCACCCCCCAGGAGAATCCAAGACTCATCTTCTCAATCAGAAAGACTTTCTTTAGAATGTTTATACCAGGGCCCTGTATATTGGACCAGATTCCTCCCAGCCTTTGAGGAATGAAGACAGTATTGTCAGCTGCTGTTAGGGCATGTGTTGTGGATTTTCTCTCCAGGGTGGGTACTGGACTTGTAACTAAATACACAGAATGTTGAGGCTGATGGCTTGCCTTCATCTACCTGGACAGTGAATCCTTTCCTTATTATCCTGTATTTGCATATTTGATTTATACCAAATATGTGTTGCATTCTTTTAGTTTTATAGTCCAGCAAAGTAATTTTTAAAAGGCAGACAAAAGAAAAAAAGTTGTTGGCCAGATACCTTGTAACATTTAATAAATGTCAGCTATTATTATAATACTTTAAAAAATTTTACTTTATGGCTATGGCAGACTTTCATAAATATTTCCTTTATATGATCTATGACATGACCTTGTGGGATAAATATTACTACTTCTCACATTTTACAGATGAATACAAGCCTCAAAGAAATGAAATGACTTCTCTACAGGTATCAAATCTTGGTGAAGGTCCTTTGGGCTTAAACTGGAGCCAAATGAAGTCCCTTGGATCTTAATGAAGGTCCTTTTGGCTTTAAATTCTGGTATATGTGTGTGTGTGTGTTATTCTGCTGTACCATGTTTCTTCCTCATTTGGGTTGGTGGATTTTCAGCTCCATAAAAGCAGGGACCAAATCTATCTTTTCATACCTTACTGTTTTATATCCCCAGAGCCAAACACAGTGTTTGGCATTGAAAAAATACTCAATAAACATTTACTAAATGAATTCATGTCCCCTGGCCAGCCAGGAGCTAGCCATGTGACTGTAGTGCTGAAGACCACATGCCTGGCTTACCTGTTGCCAGTCTTCCTGACGGCTGTGCAGGGATGTTGGCCACCTCTAGGAGTCATTAGTGTAACCAGAGAGGTACGAGGAAGGATTGTGAAGTTAGGCTTGCTTTATGTACACATGGTATGATTCTGTGTCGATCAAAAATTGAACAAAATTCTTTTCTCATAGTGGCTAAAATGGAAGTCACACTTACTGGAGGAAAATACGATCTTTATAGAAACAACACTGAAAAGGACAATGCATTTAATGTGTGTTGTGATACAGTAACTCATAGCGTGTAAACTGTCAACTTGGAAATCTAGAGGCTCAGGGTCAATGGATGTCCACTGATGCAAGGAAGGTGGCAGGCTAGAAGTCCAAAAAGGTGCAAAATGGTATTCTTTTGGAGGAGTAAGTAAATCTCATTTCTCTGAACACCTGGGCTGTTTTACTTTCTTTTTTCCTATTATCCAAAGTGACCATAATTGTTCTGTTATTGTAGGGATATATTCATTTAATCAGTGAAAGAAACTTTTGTCTGGTAACTACTAGGTACAAAGTACTGTGCTTGGTGATGGGGAGGAAAGGAGGAAGCCAAGCTCACCCTTTATCTCAAGGAATTCCCATATCTAGTACCAAGAGCGAGAGGCTGTGAAAGCCATTACCCGCCCTGCCACCCCCCCGCCATGTTTTATTATCAAAATTTCAAACATATAAAAAAGTTGAAAAACTTTTACAGTGAATACTCAGAGCCATCACCTAGAGCCTGCCATGGACATTTACTGTCCTTGCTTTATGACTTATGTTGTTTCCATCTGTCTGTTCCTCTACTCAGCTTACATTTTTGGAATAAGTTGGGAGATTGTTACACTTGGGAAGGCAGTTTGAAATATTAAAAGTTGTTTACATTTCTGAAATATTAAATAAGTTTTAGTTAAGATATTGACTTTGTTTTATTGCTATCTACATACATGGCCAACACCTGTACTAGACTTTATTAAATATCCACTGTGTGCTTTCAAATCTTCTATCCCATTTATTCTTATGAAAATCCTGTGAGGTAGATGTTATCACTTGCTTTGCAGATGAAGAAATTGAGGATGGAGGGAGTTAAGTAGATTGCCACTTATCAACTTTATTACCTCTGGCAACGTTGGAATGCAAACCCAGGTTTCTGACTCTAAGAAATGAATTTGAAAAATTATTGTAAAGGTTAGCTGGTCAAACACCAGCCTTTATCACACAGGTACCCCTGTCTACAGATAAGACATCATTGGAGCTTACCTAAGTAAAGCAAAGCAAGCAATTAGAAAATGAGAGCTCTCTTATTTTGCTGATTAATTATTCATTATTTTCTTAATAATGACTTTATTTTTCTATCATTTTTAGTATTATTACTTCACTTTGATTAGAGAAAGCAACTTCTGATGGTTTAAGTTAAAAATCCCAGATAACACATTTGTTTGGCATAAATTTTTAAGGTAAATATGAACTCTAGAATAAAACGTTATCAAAGTTATTAAAAGTTTAGCTGTTCAAAGTTAGACTCAAAATGAAAGAATCATACTTGAGACTGGGTGAGATCTGTTTCCCACCACTATGCAAACTCTGACCCAGGGCCTCTTTTGTTTGTATTCCAGCACATTATAGTTACCTCTCCAAGAGCTGACTTTGTCCTCTTCTTTGCATTCCCCTGAGGTATTTGTAGTGAGAAAGAATGACTAAATGATGGAATGAGTTCATTACCTCTTCTGAACCCAGGGGTCTTGGAAGTGCTGACACAGCTAAGACCTCCCTGGAGGCTTGTCTGTTCATCCAGAATGGCCACTCTGGATTCCTATAAAGGCTCCTGTCTCTCTGAATCCTCCCTGTATGGAGAGGCTATGGATTAGATAAACTTCAGAGTGTTTAGTAATAAAAACAAGCTTGATCTCAACTCTGTGGCCCTGTCAATACCCATACCTGCACCCTCTTGAAAAGCTACATCAGTGTAGCTTCTAGGCTTGTAATCTGAATGATCAGTGTCTTTTGGCTCAAAAATGCAAAGTGAAGGAATATTCAGAGGAAATTAGAGAGCTGCCTAAGTGGCTCTATCCTACCTGGCCTCCGTTTCTCATTATGGCTTTGCTAAAGGGTCTGAACCGTGGCATGGACGTACATTTTTTCTCAGTAACGCCACATGTGTAGAGTATTGATGCTTACCCAAGCAAAGCAAAACAAGCAATTAGGAAATACAGTCTCTCTCTCATTTTACCGATTAATTATTCATAATTTTATTGATAATAAGAACTTTATTTTTCTATCATTGTTATTATTATTATTATTATTATTATTATTTCACCACTGATTAGTGAAAATTATTGGTCCTGGACTATCACCAGTCCCTGTTCTGGCATTTGGGAACAACTGGTGCGTGTAAGCCCTGAAACTCTCCTTCGTGCTGGCATTCTGTGAACCTGAGAGAGATGAGAAGAGAACCAGGGACTAGAGTGAAGCCTACTGCAGTTGTCTTGGCATGAGGCTGTGTGGCTTGGCTTTGGCTGGGAGTCACAGACAAGCCCACGGACCTGAGAAAGAGAGTGAATCACTGTACAAGTATTTATCGAGCACCTCCCATGTCCTGGGAAGCAGTAGCTGGAGAGTGGTGAAGGAGTACTGAGTTTTGGGGTTCAAGTGGCCAGGGCTTTCCCCCAGGCTTTTTACCTATTATCTGCATTATCTGGGCAATTCAGTTCACTTATGGGCCTTAGTTTTCTGTCTAAAAAATTGTGTTGATATACTATTATGTATCAGAAGGTATTTGATAAATTGCAGAATGCTGGTGGTATTGATAGATTTTCAGATGATAGTGACAGAAAAAGTTGATTGTTGGAAAGAAAATTAGTGAGGTCTATTTTTCATATACTTACCTTTAGAGGCAGGTAAGAAATCTAAGAGTGAAGGGAAATGGAATTCACATTGTTTGAAGGGTAGGAAATTTTAAAAATAGTGCTTTTTAATCGTCCGGAAGACTTGGGGAGAGGGTATTATTCCTGTTTGAGTGGGTGGGAACAGTCTGAGAGACACTTACCTCATGCAGCTACTGAGTGGGTAGAGCTGGGGCCCAGCTCAGATCTAACTCCAGCCTGTGCTGTTTCTACAGCAGCTCAGAAACCAAAGTTCAGGGGAGCAGAGGAGCTGGAGACAGTGAATCCATCCTGAGGCCCCCCTGAGTAAATGCTTCCAGGGCAATTCCACTTGCACTATTATTAATACCTTACAGGGTGTCCTTCACAAATTTCTCAGAATGATGGCTGTAAAAATGGGTGTGTGTTTTAGAAATAAAAATATTGTGGTGCTAACAAGTTCCTGCCGGAGTTGTTCAAGGACGTTCATTCATTCAGCAAATATTTATTGAAAATTTGTTTTGTTCCAGACACTTTGTTAAATATTGGGAATATAGCAGTAAGGAAAACAGAGTCACTATTCCCAGGATGCTCATATTCTAGAAAGGAGATAAGAGATAAAGTCACAGTACAGCATTAGTGCAGTGGGAACTTGGGTTACTCTAGAAATACAGCCCAGTTAGGATCGAGGGGCTCGGGGAGGTAATATGTAGGTTGTGGGCCAGTGGATGAATTGGAATTGGGTAATAAGCAGTTGAGGTGAGGCAGTTTGTAAAAGCTAGTCTGGTGGCAGTCTGAGGAAATGAGACCTCCGTGGGGCTGCAAATGCAGTATAGTGAGAGCTTAGACTGCAAGAAGCTCTGTGAATCCGTCAAAAGTTCCTTTAAGTCCCTTTTATATATTCCATGCTATTAATTACAGGATTCTTTGCAGGGGTGAAGGGGGACCTCATGGGATGGAGCCAGTTCACCCTAGCCACAATCAGAGAAAGGTCAGAAGCTATTTGTGACATTTTTCCCGACTCTTCTATCTCAAAGACCTGGACCTGAGAACTCCGGAGAAGATGAGCTTTGAGCACTCACGTCCTCACTGGGCAGACAGAGCAGCTCTCCTCATTTCAGTTGTCTCAAGACTAGACAGTGTGCCTGAGAATAAAGCAGTGAATTAACCCCACTTGTCCAAGAGGGTGGGACTGAATACTAGACAGGGCCCTTTCCGCCTCTCTTGGGTGGTGGGGGGTGGCGTGTGACTCAGAGGCAGTGACATCAGCCATGACTTCATTCATCCACAGGAAAGACAGTGTGCAGACCGCGAACACGGCTGATTTCTGCCCTCCCTTCTCGATGCTTTGTCTTGCTGGGGACATTGTCATGGTCCTGCTGTTATTTCCCACACATTTTATTCACGTCTCATGTTTAAGCTGTTCTTTTTCTTCACCCCATTCTTTTTGGTCTCTTTGTTCATCTTTTGCTTTTGTCTTTATTTTCTTCTTTCTCCTATTTAATTTTTCTTGTTTCATTTTCTTTCCTGTACTTCTTCTCTTTTGTCTCCATTTTCCATTCTTTCCATTTGCTCTGTCCTTTCTCTTCCCTCTGTGTCAGAAATGTATACAGGAACACATCCTCCTGCCTCCTATTTCTTCTCTCCTCTGGGCTTCCCACTAGGTTATTGCTGTCCTAACATTCCTAAAACTGTGTTCACAAAACACTCTCCACACAAGGACTGATGGTGGCTCCCATTCTTTTCTGACTCAAGTATCTAATACAAGTCCAGATTTACCTCTTACTGCATCTCAACACAGGTCTCTCAGACTGAGCTTCTCATAGTTCCTTCTCCATGGCCATGGATGCTGCTGATGCTTCTGCCTGCACTTTTACTCAGGCCATTGCCTCAGTGTGGACTGACCTCCATCCCATCTTCCTCAGTCTTTGCCTTCCCTCTAGACACATATCTGACATTGCCTCCTAAGTAACCCCCTTACTTACCTCCTTCCCACAGCACTGTCTCCTTCATGATCATACAGAATCCATAGTTTATAAATTATGTATTTTAGAACTTGAATTATTCTGTACTATTTATACATTCTTCCTGCATGTTTCATATGCATAGATTCTTTGTTCCACCTAGCCAGTAACTAACCTGAGGATAGGAAGTATATTCCTGCCTTTCATCTTCTATGAGCATACCTAGCACATAGTTGGCCACAAACCAGGACTGACAGACCATTTTTTTGCAAAGTCAAGAAATATTTTACTTGAAAAATAGTTATTTGATGCTAATTCTGGGGAGATAGATGAATGAATTATAGTTCTTTCCTAAAAAAAGAGCTAAGGGTCTAGTAGAAGAGACAGACCCACACGTAATTTGAGAAGAACAAGGATTGTGGAGGAAACTAATGTTTACTAGGAGTGTACAAGAATGGGCACATGAACATGTATAATCTCACTGAATTGAATTCGGCTAACAATCCTATGAGTTAAATGTTGCTACCAATGAACAAAGTGAGACTCATAGACATTAGGTGACTACTAGTCAGAAATAACACCACTAATAAGTAGGAGAACCAACATTTGGACTAAGGTTTGTCCGACTCTAAAGCCCCTACTCTTTCCTGAAGAGGGAAGGATGTAGTGAAAGTGACATTCTAAGTAATAATAAGAACAATCGTAGGTAAAAAGTGCTTACTATGTGCCAGGTGCTGTAAACAGATTACCTATATTTGTTCATTTGATCCCCCATCAACCCTATGGCATAGGCACTATTATTGTCCTCAGTAATTTTTATAGGATGAGGAAATTGAGATGAAGAGTAGTTGAGTAGATTGCTCAAGGCCACATAGCTACAGAGTACTAGAGCCAGGATATTCACTCTTGCATTCTGGCTCTGGAGAAGAGGCAGCAGAATGTAGTGAGGCCCTCTACATAGAGTAGCATATTGCATGATCAGAACTGCTGTTGGACCAGTCTGTTTGGAGAATCAGGGACTGTGGAGATGCTGACAGGTGAAGGTGTTGAGAGGTGAGGCTAAAGAGGCAGCCAGGAATCATCACAAAGGACCAGTGCCCTCCTCAAGGACCCGTGACAAAACATGCAATTTTCCTAGAAATATTTTCTGTGAGGTTGGACCGTTAGGGATCCATCATAAGGAAGAGTTTAAGTTGTGGTCTTATTCTACTACTTGAGTTGTGAAGGAACTTTTGAGTTGTGGCCTTTGTCCATGCCCAGCGGGAAATCACAGTGGAACTCTGCAACAGTGGTGTAAATGAACAAGTAAGGATGCACATACCCAAATAGACTCCAAAGAAATGCCAGTTGAAACAGTAAAGTACGCCTGTCCTTTACGGGTTGGAGATGATTAAGTTTGGGTTGAAGGACATTTGGGAAGAAAGAAGAAGGGACATCTGTGTGAGCCAGCTTGGAACAGATGCCAGGTTATCCTCAGGTGTCCCAGAGCGCTCAACATTTGATGGAGCACTCTCCCCACTGCAGCCCCCCTCTCCATTGGTACTTGGCAGCAATTCAGTGGTGCTGCACTGACCTGGGAGTCCAAGCCAGGAAGTGAATGAATCCATTTTCCAATTAAAATGAAACTTCTCCAAAGGACCTGCTAACCCTGAGAGAAGAAATTTATCTTCCTGGCAGTCTGGCTTGCCTAGAATATGTCTCTGCTCCTGAAACAGACTGAGAAAAGCCATTAGCTTGAATGAAAAAAGAGAAACTGGGACAGTTCTTATTCACAACCTCATTCATTTATCCATTCATTCCTTTTATTTCTGCAGACTTTAATTTGGCTTCCACATGTCTGCTCATTCATTCATTTATTCATTCATTAGCTAACATGACTCATCATCTATAGATCAGACAAACTGCTGTGTCCTAGGAGTAGAGATATTTAATAAAAAACATAGCTCTTGCCTTTGAGGAGCTTTCAGTCTAGTGAGAGAGACAGACAAATGAACAGATGATGGGAAATGCAGTGATAGGGATATTCATAGAGTACTATAGGGGCATAGCATAAGAGCATCTGACTCAGCATAGGGATGTCATGGGTGATTTCATGGAGTAGGAAACACCAGAGTTGAGTCCTAAATGTGTACACACATAGACATATACATGCTATTGCTTCTGTTTCTCTGAAGAACTCTAATACAGGGTGATGAGGTGGGCACCTCTTCATGAATTAATTGGGAGTTGAAATTAGAATGGTGGTTGAATGTAAGGAATGAGAGAAGAGGTAGAAGATGACTCCTTTGGTAGAGGTAGAAGATGACTCCTTTGGTAACTGGATCAACTGGCACTGGAAATCAAGGAGGAGGAACACACTTGGGGGAAGATAGCAGATTCTGTCTTGGACGTGTTGAGTTGGAGGTACAGTGGGACATCCAGGAGACATGTCTCAGAGGAGAGTTTGAATTGGAGTTTCAGATTTGGCACGTTATTCAGCGTGTAGTTGGTTGGAATCACAGGAGTGATTGATATTTCTCAGAGAGCATGGGAACAGTGAAAAGAACATTTGGATGAGGTAAGATCCCTGGGGAGCAGCTAAAGAAAAGAGCAGCTAAAGAAAAGGAGCCCATGAAGGAGACAGAAAAGCACTGATGAGAAGGGCGTGAGAAGGTCCCGGAGAGTGAGAGGTTGAGGAAGACTTCCTCATTTCTCCCCTGGTCCCAGTCTTTGACTTTCTTTCATGTCTGCTCCAAGACCTGTTCACCCTTTCCAAAGCCTTCTCTTCCTATTAGGACTGTCTCCCTCTCTCCCATAGATGGTACCACCCACAAGGCATGGCTTGATCCAGGTCACTGTGGCATCTCTCTCATCTCCTCCAGTAAGAAATGCACTTCTGCATTATATTATGTTTTAGAGAGGCAGATGACTGAACTCAAACATTGGGCTGGGCATTAGCGATGCAAAATTTGGTCTGACTTTCCATTTACCCGTTGTGTGGGACCTGGGGATAGTCTTGGTCCCTTCCTGGGCTTTAGGTTCATAATCTGCAAGCATAGTTTTCTGACTCCTTGCCTTGCCTGCCTTGAAGAATTATACAGGTCAGATGAGATCATGCATGTCAAAGTGCTTTGAAAACTGTGAAACTCTGTAGCAGAAGAGTGAATCTTGTTGACTTATCAGGCACTTTATATTATTTCATTTAATTCTCACAGCATCCTTGGGGGAAGATGCTAGGAATGTGGCTTTGAGGAAACTGGGGCTTAAAGAAATTAATTTACCTAAAGCTACACAGCTGTTAAGTGGTGAGGACGGCAATCAAAATCAGGTATGCCAGACTCCAGAGTTCTTAGACCCCATCTACTTCAGCCTTGTTTTCCTAATACGTACAGTGGTGTCACACTCCTGGGTAAAGTCAGCTTTGCTGAGTATGATGAGTTTTCATTAAAATGATAGCATATTTTATGGTTGGGAAATCAACTCTAGTGTGGATTATAAGTTTTTCTTTTCGTACAAGAAGAGCAAAGCCCTTCAGGGGGAGGAAAGTAGGGGAAAGGGATGCATATAAATCCAGTTTTTGAAAATTAAATAAACTATACAGTGGAATTATTTCATTTTACAAATAAATTCTATGATGTTACCGTTAAACAAGTCCTCATCTAATGGGGGTAATGCGTCTTGTCTATTCAGGTTTTTGTTTCTTGGGTCTTTCTCGGCAGTGACATAAATATTTATTCCACTTGATGTTTAGGCCTCTGCTTGCATCTCTCCCCGGAAGCCTTTAGAAAAGCCTTTAGAAAAGCCTCCCCAGGTCCCAAACCCTTTCCCCGCTCTGAGCCCTGTCTGTGATTACTCATTAGAGGCAGATATATGGCCACACACAAAATATTACAATAATGTTATGAGGCTGACTCATCAAACCTTGGTATCAGGCTTATTACGTTATTGTCATATATCATCTTATTAATTATCTCTTCCTTTGTGTACATCTTTCTCTCGAAAGGACCTGGCTTTAGATTTTCTTATATCTCCCAAAACTCTGCATTTTTTTTTTCATGAGTTAGACTTGGCTCTTGCCCTTCAGAAGTTTGTCATTTCAAGGTAGATTTAGGTATATCAATGAATAATTAGGGTACAGCATGGGATGGAGAGGTTCACAGAAAAGGTGACATCTGAGCTGGATTTGAATCAAGGGCAGAGGTTTGATAAAGGGAGAAGATGGGAAAGTCAATTCAAGTAGAGATACCAGCTGTAACAGAGGACTGGAAATATGAAAGTGTAATGCATTTGGGAAAGTAAAAGAGGTGAGAACCAAATGGAGGGTGTTAGGAGATGAGCCCAGAAAGTCATCATCATAATGATCACAGCCAAGTTGGAGCCAGGTTAAGAGTCCTGAGAGCCAGACTACAGAGTTAAAATGGGATTCTAGGCCATGAGGAGATGTCGCACCATCTTTAATAAAGGAATGGAATGGGAAGCTTTATGTTTTTAGAAAGATGCCTCTAGTAGTGCAGACCTCTCAGCTTATCTGCCTATCTGACTTGAAATATTTCTGATGTTCTGTCTCTGTGCATGGGAGTTTGAAACACACAATTATTTTATTCATTCTGAGAAGTTTCTGGCTGAGGTTTATGACCTACTCCATGCTTCCAGCGTCATATTTCTTTTAAGAATGACATTGAAGATTACGTCTCTTCCTGAAACTCTTTTCTCTCTGGGCTATTGGCCTGTGCCCTAATTTGGAGTCTTGAACATAGAGTGAGGATAAGGTCTAGCTCTTTCTTGGGTAGTTGTGCTGGAAAACAACAGCATGAGTACTTGGAATGTACAGGCAGTACTATTTATTGAGTGGGGAATTAGGGAGCTGTTCCCTCCCTTTTGTTTACTGCTCACAGCAGATAACCCAGATAGAATCCCTTTGCAATTACACAGTAGATTACTTGGATAATCCTTTGTAACTGGTCATGCCTATCTTCTCATGTTGCCCCTCGACCCTGGTGTCACTGCAGTAGCTGCCTCATTTCCCTCACGAGTTCCCTAGGTGTCTAGAAGCAGCAGAAACCTCACAGCTTCCCTGGAGTGGGAGGGAAAGGGTGAAAGCTACTTCTCTCTGTCCTGAGGCTGGCAGGGCGGCTGCAGCCTTGAATCTTGGACATACTGCCCTACCTCCGCCCTCTGCTTAGACCCACAGCTGTGTGAGCTTTGAGTAGTAGCCTCCTCCCAACAAATGCTGTGGTTTGATGAAGTAATAATTTTTTCTTTTTTTTAAAAAAAGCTGTTCTCTTTGGTTGCTTTAAGCTGAGGGATTGCTTAACTCAAAGGATTGTTGTTGGAATGCAGAAGGCTTTTGTGCCAAGTCATATAACCCAAATCACTTTTCTTTTTTTCTTGAAAAGACTAGTTTTTGTTAGTTGCCTGGTAACTGGAGGATAGAAAGACTTAACTCATTCAGCACAGAGAGCTCCTAGTTTGAACTCTATTAGGCCATCACCTAATGAGATACATCTGAAATTGGTGTGTGTCGAGGGCCTGCTCCTTGCACTCTCTAATCCGTGCAACATTGTGCATGGGAGATGATAAGTACATAGGAGTTACATGAGCTGTCCAGGATTGAAATTGTACGGAAATGTGCTTAGAAGGGCTTTTGTTTGTCTTTTCTTCTGTAAAGAGTGGCAATAGCTTCCATTATGACATTTCCAAAAGGCCCAAAATCACACCTCTGATTGGACTGGGAGGTTCAGGGTGGTAACTGTGGCATAGTGGAAGGAAAGAACATTTACTTTAGAGCTGGAAGCCCTGTGACTTTGGGCTAAGCCCTTGTGGTCTGACCCCCAGTTCCTTAATGTGTGAGTATTGTGTATTACCTACACGCCTCTGCATCACTCTGTAGATTAAATGAGAACACTGTTGTAAACTGTGGAGGACTTAGAGGACGATCACTGTGTCCTAATGCAGGCCCAGTGGTTACAAGTAGAGAATTAATTCAGTAAGATTGAGGCCTTTGGCTGGGATTGTATGGGCCAGAGAGGAGGAGGGACAGAGAGATTTTTCTGCAGAACTAGACTAAAAATCCATCTATGGGGGTAATGTGCTGTTGGCCAATATGGCATTTGATGACAAAGCACTTGTGAATCAGGTAGCCTAATATAAAAAACTGCATGTGGCTGGGCATGGTGGCTCACGCCTGTAATACCAGCACTTTGGGAGGCCGAAGTGGGTGGATCACAAGGTCAGGAGTTCACGACCAGCCTGGCCAACATAGTGAAGCCCTGTCTCGGGGAGGAGCCAAGATGGCTGAACAGGAACAGCTCCGGTCTACAGCTCCCAGTGTGAGCAACGCAGAAGACGGGTGATTTCTGCATTTCCATCTGAGGTACTAGGTTCATCTCACTAGGGAGTGCCAGACAGTGGGCGCAGGTCAGTGGGTGCAGCGCACTGTGCGCAAGCCGAAGCAGGGCGAGGCATTGCCTCACTCGGAAAGCGCAAGGGGTCAGGGAGTTCCCTTTCCTAGTCAAAGAAAGGGGTGACAGACGGCACCTGGAAAATCGGGTCACTCCCACCCGATACTGCGCTTTTCCGACGGGCTTAAAAAACGGCGCACCAGGAGATTATATCCTGCACATGGCTCGGAGGGTCGTACGCCCACGGAGTCTCGCTGATTGCTAGCACAGCAGTCTGAGATCAAACTGCAAGGCGGCAGCGAGGCTGGGGGAGGAGCGCCCGCCATTGCCCAGGCTTGCTTAGGTAAACAGAGCAGCCTGGAAGCTCAACTGGGTGGAGCCCACCACAGCTCAAGGAGGCCTGCCTGCCTCTGTAGGCTCCACCTCTGGGGGCAGGGCACAGACAAACAAAAAGACAGCAGTAACCTCTGCAGACTTAAATGTCCCTCTCTGACAGCTTTGAAGAGAGCAGTGGTTCTCCCAGCACGCAGCTGGAGATCTGAGAAGGGGCAGACTGCCTCCTCAAGTGGGTCCCTGACCCCTGACCCCCGAGCAGCCTAACTGGGAGGCACCCCCCAGTAGGGGCAGACTGACACCTCACACGGCCGGATACTCCTCTGAGACAAAACTCCCAGAAGAATGATCAGACAGCAGCATTCACGGTTCACGAAAAACGACTGTTCTGCAGACACCGCTGCTGATACCCAGGCAAACAGGGTCTGGAGTGGACGTCTAGCAAACTCCAACAGACCTGCAGCTGAGGGTCCTGTCTGTTAGAAGGAAAACTAACAAACAGAAAGGACATCCACACCAAAAACCCATCTGTATATCACCATCATCAAAGACCAAAAGTAGATAAAACCACAAAGATGGGGAAAAAACAGAGCAGAAAAACTGGAAACTCTAAAAAGCAGAGCCCCTCTCCTCCTCCAAAGGATCGCAGTTCCTCACCAGCAATGGAACAAAGCTGGATGGAGAATGACTTTGACGAGTTGAGAGAAGAAGGCTTCAGAAGATGAAACTACTCCGAGCTACTGGAGGAAATTCAAACCAAAGGCAAAGAAGTTAAAAACTTTGAAAAAAATCTAGATGAATGTATAACTAGAATAACCAATACAGAGAAGTGCTTAAAGGAGCTGATGGAGCTGAAAGCCAAGGCTCGAGAACCACGTGAAGAATGCAGAAGCCTCAGGAGACGATGCGATCACCTGGAAGAAAGCGATGGAAGATGAAATGAATGAAATGAAGCGAGAAGGGAAGTTTAGAGAAAAAAGAATAAAAAGAAACAAACAAAGCCTCCAAGAAATATGGGACTATGTGGAAAGACCAAATCTACGTCTGATTGGTGTACCTGAAAGTGACGGGGAGAATGGAACCAAACTGAAAAACACTCTGCAGGATATTATCCAGGAGAACTTCCCCAATCTAGCAAGGCAGGCCAACATTCAGATTCAGGAAATACAGAGAACGCCACAAAGATACTCCTCGAGAAGAGCAACTCCAAGACACATAATTGTCAGATTCACCAAAGTTGAAATGAAGGAAAAAATGTTAAGGGCAGCCAGAGAGAAAGGTCAGGTTACCCACAAAGGGAAGCCCATCAGACTAACAGCGGATCTCTTGGCAGAAACTCTACAAGCCAGAAGAGAGTGGGGGCCAATATTCAACATTCTTAAAGAAAAGAATTTTCAACCCAGAATTTCATATCCAGCCAAATTAAGCTTCATAAGTGAAGGAGAAATAAAATACTTTACAGACAAGCAAATGCTGAGAGATTTTGTCACCACCAGGTCGGACCTAAAATAGCTCCTGAAGGAAGCACTAAACATGGAAAGGCACAACTGGTACCAGCCACTGCAAAATCATGGCAAAATGTAAAGACCATCGAGACTAGGAAGAAACTGCATCAACTAACGAGCAAAATCACCAGCTAACATCATAATGACAGGATCAAATTCACACATAACAATATTAACTTTAAATGTAAATGGACTAAGTGCTCCAATTAAAAGACACAGACTGGCAAGTTGGATAAAGAGTCAAGACCCATCAGTGTGTTGTATTCAGGAAACCCATCTCACATGCAGAGACACACATAGGCTCAAAATAACAGGATGGAGGAAGATCTACCAAGCAAATGGAAAACAAAAAAAGGCAGGGGTTGCAATCCTAGTCTCTGATAAAACAGACTTTAAACCAACAAAGATCAAAAGAGACAAAGAAGGCCATTACATAATGGTAAAGGGATCAATTCAACAGGAAGAGCTAACTCTCCTAAATATATATGCACCCAATACAGGAACACCCAGATTCATAAAGCAAGTCCTTAGAGAACTACAAAGAGACTTAGACTCCCACACATTAATAATGGGAGACTTTAACACCCCACTGTCAACATTAGACAGATCAACGAGACAGAAAGTCAACAAGGATACCCAGGAATTGAACTCAGCTCTGCAACAAGCAGACCTAATAGACATCCACAGAACTCTCCACCCCAAATCAACAGAATATACATTTTTTTTCAGCACCGCACCACACCTATTCCAAAATTGACCACATGGTTGGAAGTAAGGCTCTCCTCAGCAAATGTAAAAGAACAGAAATTATAACAAACTGTCTCTCAGACCACAGTGCAATCAAACTAGAACTCAGGATTAAGAAACTCACTCAAAACTGCTCAACTACATGGAAACTGAACAACCTGCTCCTGAATGACTACTGGGTACATAACGAAATGAAGGCAGAAATAAAGATGTTCTTTGAAACCAATGAGAACACAGACACAACATACCAGAATCTCTGGGACACGTTCAAAGCAGTGTGTAGAGGGAAATTTATAGCACTAAATGCCCACAAGAGAAAGCAGGAAAGATCCAAAATTGACACCCTAACATCACAATTAAAAGAACTAGAAAAGCAAGAGCAAACACATTCAAAAGCTAGCAGAAGGCGAGAAATAACTAAGATCAGAGCAGAACTGAAGGCGATAAATCGAGACACAAAAAACCCTTCAAAAAGTTAATGAATCCAGGAGCTGGTTTTTTGAAAGGATCAACAAAATTGATAGACCGTTAGCAAGACTAATAAAGAAAAAAAGAAGAATCAAATAGACGCAATTAAAAATGATAAAGGGAATATCACCACCGATCCCACAGAAATACAAACTACCATCAGAGAATACTACAAACACCTCTACGCAAATAAACTAGAAAATCTAGAAGAAATGGATAAATTACTTGACACATACACTCTCCCAAGACTAAACCAGGAAGAAGTTGAATCTCTGAATAGACTAATAACAGGCTCTGAAATTGTGGCAATAATTAATAGCTTACCAACCAAAAAGAGTCCAGGACCAGATGGATTCACAGCCGAATTCTACCAGAGGTACAAGGAGGAGCTGGTACCATTCCTTCTGAAACTATTCCAATCAATAGAAAAAGAGGGAATCCTCCCTAACTCATTTTATGAGGCCAGTATCATCCTGATACCAAAGCCTGGCAGAGACACAATTAAAAAAGAGAATTTTAGACCAATATCCTTGATGAACATTGATGCAAAAATCCTCAATAAAATACTGGCAAACTGAATCCAGCACCACATCAAAAAGCTTATCCACCATGATCAAGTGGCCGTCATCCCTGGGATGTAAGGCTGGTCCAATATACGCAAATCAATAAATGTAATCCAGCATATAAACAGAACCAAAGACAAAAACCACATGATTATCTCAATAGATGCAGAAAAGGCCTTTGACAAAATTCAACAACCCTTCATGCTAAAAACTCTCAATAAATTAGGTATTGATGGGACATATCTCAAAATAATAAGAGCTATCTATGACAAACCCACAGCTAATATCACACTGAATGGGCAAAAACTGGAAGCATTCCATTTGAAAACTGGCACAAGACAGGGATGCCCTCTCTCACCACTCCCATTCAACATAGTGTTGGAAGTTCTGGCCAGGGCAATTAGGCAGGAGAAGGAAAGAATGGGTATTCAATTAGGAAAAGAGGAAGTCAAATTGTCCCTGTTTGCAGACGACATGATTGTGTATCTAGAAAACCCCATTGTCTCAGCCCAAAATCCCCTTAAGCTGATAAGCAACTTCAGCAAAGTCTCAGGATACAAAATCAATGTACAAAAATCACAAGCATTCTTATACACCAATAACAGACAAACAGCCAAATCATGAGTGAACTCCCATTCACAATTGCTTCAAAGAGAATAAAATACCTAGGAATCCAGCTTACAAGGGACATGAAGGACCTCTTCAAGGAGAACTACAAACCACTGCTCAAGGAAATTAAAGAGGATATAAACAAATGGAAGAACATTCCATGCTCATGGATAGGAAGAATCAATATCGTGAAAATGGCCATACTGCCCAAGGTAATTTATAGATTCAGTGCCATCCCCATCAAGCTACCAATGACTTTCTTCACAGAATTGGAAAAAACTACTTTAAAGTTCATATGGAACCAAAAAAGAGCCCGCATCCCCAAGTCAATCCTAAGCCAAAAGAACAAAGCTGGAGGCATCACGCTACCTGACTTCAAACTATACTACAAGTCTACAGTAACCAAAACAGCATGGTACTGGTACCAAAACAGAGATATAGATCAATGGAACAGAACAGAGCCCTCAGAAATAACGCCGCATATCTACAACTATCTGATCTTTGACAAACCTGAGAAAAACAAGCAATGGGGAAAGGATTCCCTATTTAATAAATGGTGCTGGGAAAACTGGCTAGCCAGGAGAAAGCTGAAACTGGATCCCTTCCTTACACCCTATACAAAAATTAATTCAAGATGGATTAAAGACTTAAACGTTAGACCTAAAACCATAAAAACCCTAGAAGAAACCCAGGCAATACCATTCAGGACATAGGCATGGGCAAGGACTTCATGTCTAAAACACCAAAAGCAATGGCAACAAAAGCCAGAATTGACAAATGGGATCTCATTAAACTAAAGAGCTTCTGCACAGCAAAAGAAACTACCATCAGAGTGAACAGGCAACCCACAAAATGGCAGAAAATTTTCACAACCTACTCATCTGACAAAGGGCTAATATCCAGAATCTACAATGAACTCAAACAAATTTACAAGAAAAAAACAAGCAACCCCATCAAAAAGTGGGTGCAGGACATGAACAGACACTTCTCAAAAGAAGACATTTATGCAGCCAGAAACCACATGAAAAAATGCTCACCATCACTGGCCATCAGAGAAATGCAAATCAAAACCACAATGAGATATCATCTCACACCAGTTAGAATGGTGATCTTTAAAAAGTCAGGAAACAACAGGTGCTGGAGAGGATGTGGAGAAATAGGAACACTTTTACACTGTTGTTGGGACTGTAAACTAGTTGAACCATTGTGGAAGTCAGTGTGGCGATTCCTCAGGGATCTAGAACTAGAAATACCATTTGACCCAGCCATCCCATTACTGGGTATATACCCAAAGGACTATAAATCATGCTGCTATAAAGACACATGCACACGTATGTTTATTGCGGCACTGTTCACAATAGGAAAGACTTGGAACCAACCCAAATGTCCAACAATGATAGACTGGATTAAGAAAATGTGGCACATATACACCATGGAATACTATGCAGCCATAAAAATGTTGAGTTCACATCATGTCCTTTGTAGGGGCATGGATGAAATTGGAAATCATCATTCTCAGTAAACTATCGCAAGAACAAAAAACCAAACACCGCATATTCTCACTCATAGGTGGGAATTGAACAATGGGAACACATGGTCACAGGAAGGGGAACATCACACTCTGGGGACTGTTGTGGGGTGGGGGGAGGGGGGAGGGGGGAGGGATAGCATTGTGAGATATACCTAATGCTAGATGACGAGTTAGTGGGTGCAGCGCACCAGCATGTCACATGTATACACAGGTAACTAACCTGCACATTGTGCACATGTACCCTAAAACTTAAAGTATAATAATAATAAAAAAAAATCCACCTAGTTTTCATCAAAAAAAAAAAAAATGGCAGGGTGTGGTGGCATGCACCTGTGTTCCCAGCTACTCGGGAGGCTGAGGCAGGAGAATCTCTTGAACCCGGGGTGCAGAGGTTGCAGTGAGCTGAGATCGCACCACTACACTCCAGCCTGGCGATAGAGTGAGACTCCATCTCAAAAAAGAAAAAAAAAAAAAAAAAAGAAACAAACAAAAAAAAACTGCATGGGATCCTCACAGATGCCTGCTGGCATCTCAAGGTAAGGGATCAGGCTTCTGGAGACATTTCCTCTCATTCAGTCCTTATTCCTCTTTGCTGGCCTATCTCCAGACTTTTCTTTTGTAGAGAAAGCAGGGAATATTGCTATCTTCCCTTCTGAGACCATGTGCATACTTAAGAGTACCTCAGACTTCCCACAACATGTTATTTCTAGTTGCTCATCCCACAAATATTTGTTGAATTACTAGACAAACTGCTCAGCTTCATCTTCCAGTTCCTGTTATGTGAGGAGTACTTCAGAGGTTATAGAGGGCTTCCACATGTGTTATCTCCTTAGAGAGGAGAGGTTGGACTGGGATCTCCAGCTTTGATTGGTGACGGTTAGTGTGGTCTCAAAAAGAAAGAACGCAGGGACTCCTTGCTCCTCCTATTCCCAGTGTCTCTTTTTGGCAAAAGGCTTGAGTTCTTTGTGACATTCTACTTGGGTTCTGTTGTCCCACAGTGGCTGGCTGTGTGGCTACAGGCTAAAAGCTGTCGTTATATAATGTCTTTAATGACCACACACAAGATCTAAAGTAGTTTTTTTTTTTTTTTTTTTTTGCCTGAATTTAAGAAGATTGTTGTGCTTTGGCTTGAAGCACTGGTTGTTGCTGCGGTGGTTTGGCGGTTCATATCTGGTCACTGGCCTTTGATTTCTGGAACCTTTAGAAAGAGGCTGCCTTTTCTCCTCTCCCTGACCACTGATTGCTGAAACCACAAGACATATGGAAATAGATTTCAGGGACTAGCCAAAAGCCATTCTGGTAGTTTGATTCACATCGTCTCAAAGGCTACCATTTTCTGACTGTGGCTTGTTAGATCCTATACAGAGATACTACTAGTTCTTAGCTGTGTTAGGAATATTTAGTATCTTTAAGTTTTGCTTGATTTAACATTAACATCTTAGAATGGGCGTTCAAAGAGAAGTTTAGGGCAGGTCCCTTTCTAGACACAAGCTTTCACCTAGATGTTTAGGAAGTTAAAACAACAACAGTAACAGAGAATCAGCTTGATACTTTGCCTTTTAGATCTGAACTCTTTTGATATTGTTTTGATAGGGCCAGCACTTGGGATAGTACCGTTTATCTGCTGTAAATAGATGTTGGTGTTTATATAGTAGTGTTAGGGAAGCACTATGTAGGAGGAACTCACAGAATTCTGATAAAGGCCAGTTGTATATAAAATAGATATAATAATACCCAGGACTTTTGTGTTGCTCTAAGGAGATAACACATGTGGAAGCCCTTTATAAACTGAAGCACCCCTCACATAAGAGGAATTGGAAGGTGAAGCTGAGCAGTTTGTCTAGTAATTCAACAAATATTTATTGAGTTCCTACTGTGTGTTACCCTGCGGCAGGTACTGAAATATGCCTCTTTTGGAACTTCTGCATTGTTGCCTTTAGGTTCCCAGAGATACTCCTATGCTTATAATTCCTTTTATAGCTTTTTGGAGAGGGAGTAATAGAAACCAGGACATGGAAAGTTATCTGGATGGTAGGAAACCTTTCTTGCTAGTTCCTCTGTCTTCTTTACTATTCTGTTTTTGAAATTCTACCTCTTCAGGTGTTTGACAGAAAATGGCCACTTCATGCTTTTCAAGTTTATCTCACCTCCAGTTCCATTCATAGGCAGAAGTGAAATGGTTCCATTTGGGTCCTGATTCTAAGTTCTTGGGAGAAGAAATCTGGTTGGTACAACTAGGTCACATGCCTAAACCTGGTCCAACCAAGTGCTTGTAGTAAGGGGATGAGAGTTAAGTAGTTTCTGCTTGGCAGCTGAGGGTCCTCTCAGTTGGGGTGGAGAAGAGGAGACAATCATCCAATGTCATGGTGAACATGACTGACAAGATCCTTGACCTCACAGAGCTTATAGTCAGTCTGTCAGGAAAGAAAGACTTTTGTATTAGTCTGGTCTTACACTGCTAATAAAAACATACCCGAGACTGGGTAATTTATAAAGGAAAGAGATTTAATTGACTCACAGTTCAGCATGGCTGGGGAGGCCTCAGGAAACTTACAATCATGGTGGAAGGAGAAGCAAACACATCCTTCTGTATTTGGTGGCAGGAGAGAGAAGTGCAGAGTGAAAGCAGGGGAAGCCCCTTATAAAACCATGAGATCTTGTGAGAACTCACTCGCTATCATGAGAACAGCATGGAGGTAACCACTCCCATGATTCAATTACCTCCTACAGGGTACCTCCTATGACACTTGGGGATTATGGGAACTACGATTCAAGATGAGATTTGAGTGAAGACACAGCCAAACCATATCAACATTACACAAATGATTGTGGGGGTGGTATGGGTTGTATGACAACTAGACCTAAACTAACAATATGACTTACCGGCTTTGATTTCCAGGAGATCCTGGAAACCCCCTCAAGGAATGGTGGTGTGTAGGGTTAACCAAATGAGGAAGGGGATGATGTTGATCCTGGGAGGGCACAGGGTGGTGGGTGAGGAATGAATGTTTTAGGCAGAAGTGGCAAAGTAAAGAAAATGCCCAGCAGTAAGAAAAAGCCTGGCCATTTTGCAATACAGAGAACCAAATCTTTAAAATGTACAATGGCTTGCTTATGTGGCCATTCTCTTTGACTTAGACTGGAAGTTCTTTGAGGGCAGGGACTATCATCTTTTTTCTATTGCCTTTGTAACCAGTTGGCATGTGGAGAATTTTATATGGCAGGGGACATTTAGTTTCATTGGGCAGTTTCTGAGTACAGCTTCTTTCCAGCTTATATCTGCTCTGAAATCTTATATGTCCATCACCATTCACTGGGAAAATGGATTGCATACCTTACAGACTGTGCTTTTGATATGGTTTGGCTGTGTCCCCACCCAAATTTCATCTTCAATTGTAGCTCCCATAATTCTCTCATGTTGTGGGAGGGACCTGGTGGGAGATAATTGAATCATGAGGGCAGTTTTCCCCATGCTGTTCTCGTGGTAGTGAGTAAGTCTCACAAGATCTGATGGTTTTATAAGAGGTTTTCCCTTTCTCTGGGCTCTCATTTCTCTCTGTGGTCTGCTGCCACGATTGTGAGGCCTCCCCAGCCACGCGAAACTGTGAGTCCATTAAACCTATTTTTCTTTAAAATTACCCAGTCTCGGGTATGTCTTTATCAGCAGTGTGAAAATGGACTAACACAGCTTTCTATCCTTCCAGGTTGGCAAAGAGGGTTTTAAGGGAAATTACGATCATTTTTGGAAGGATCAAGCATTGTCAGTTTTTCTTTCCTGTATAAGTACTGCTTTTATATTATTCCTACCCCCACCAAGCTCCTGAACAGATGTTTCAATGGGCATTGTTGGCTATGCTTTTGTTTTGAAAAATTTGAAACATTATTGAAAGAGGAGATGGTAGAAAAACCCCCTAATTGATTCTAATATATATTTAATTTGGCAGAACTTGAGAGAGATTTGCTGGGATAAGGCGGGACATTTCTTTGATCTCCCGGACTTCTTATCGTGGAAGGCAACAGGTGTCACAGCACGGTATGTTAATTACAAGTTGGATTGTGTTTGCGTTCTTCCATTCTTGGATGTCTGTCTATATATTGCTTTCTTAACTCTCTTTGACTGGATATACTTTTGGTACATCTGCATGTGATTTTGCATACATGAAACATCTTGAATCTATCTTCGACCTCCACTGCACATGCCCAAACACTGTTGTTCCTAAGAGCCCTGGAATGTGAGTATCCAAGGTGAAGACCATTCATTAAAATTGGTCATATTTGAAGGAGATATGAAAAATCCAGAGTGAAATGTGGATTTTTCCAAAGGCACTTTTTACATGATGAATAAAAGGAAAAAATAAACACACACACACACACACACACACACACACAGAGTCACGCATTCCTTAAGGACAGGGATACATTCAGAGAATGTGTTGTTAGGCAATTTCATTATTGTTGCAAACATCATAGAGTATACTTTCACAAATCTAGATAGTGTATTCTACTACATACCTAGGCTGTATGGTATAGCCTATTGCTGCTTGGCTACAAACCTGTAGAGCATGTTACTGTACTGAATACTGTAGGCCATTGTGCACAGTGGTACTTATTTGTATATCTAAACATAGAAAAGATATCATAAAAATACAATGTAAAAGATAAAAAGTAGTATACTCATATAGGGCACTTACAATGAATGAAACTTGCAGGACTAGAAGTTTCTCTGGGTGAGTCAGTGAGTGAGTGGTGATTGAATGCAGAGGCCTAGGATATTACTGTACACTTCTATAGACTTTATAAACACTGTACCTGTAAGCTACACTAAATTTATTTTAAAAATTTGTTTAATAATTATCCTTTGCTTACTGTAACATTTTTTACTTCATAAACTTTTAAACTTTTTGACTTTTTTGTAATAACACTTATCTTAAAACACAAACACATTATACAGCTGTACAAAAATATTTTCTTTGTATTCTTATTCAATATGCTTTTTTCTTTTTTTTTCATTATACTTTAAGTTCTAGGGTACATGTGCACAACCTGCAGGTTTGTTAATTATGTATACATGTGCCATGTTGGTGTGCTGCACCCATTAACTCGTCATTTACATGAGGTATATCTCCTAATGCTATCCCCCGCCTCCCCACCCCACAACAGGCCCCAGTGTGTGATGTTCCCCTTCCTGTGTCCATGTGTTCTCATTGTTCAATTCCCACCTATGAGTGAGAACATGCAGTGTCTGGTTTTTTGTCCTTGCGATAGATTGCTGAGAATGATGGTTTCCAGCTTCATCCGTGTCCCTCCAAAGGACATGAACTCATCCTTTCTTATGGCTGCATAGTATTCCATGGTGTATATGTGCCACATTTTCTTAATCCAGTCTATCATTCATGGACATTTGGGTTGATTCCAAGTCTTTGCTATTGTGAATAGTGCCACAATAAACATACATGTGCATGTGTCTTTATAGCAGCATGATTTATAATCCTTTGGGTATATACCCAGTAATGGAATGGCTGGGTCAAATGGTATTTCTAGTTCTAGATCCCTGAGGAATCGCCACACTGACTTCCACAATGGTTGAACTAGTTTACAGTCCCACCAACAGTGTAAAAGTGTTCCCATTTCTCCACATCCTCTCCGGCACCTGTTGTTTCCTGACTTTTTAAAGATCGCCATCCTAACTGGTGTGAGATGATATCTCATTGTGGTTTTGATTTGCATTTCTCTGATGGCCAGTGATGATGAGCATTTTTTCATGTGTCTTCTGGCTGCATAAATGTCTTCTTTTGAGAAGTGTCTGTTCATATCCTTTGCCCCCTTTTTGATGGGGTTGTGTTTTTCTTGTAAATTTGTTTGAGTTCTTTGTAGATTCTGGATATTAGTCCTTTGTCAGATGAGTAGATTGCAAAAATTTTCTCCCATTCTGTAAGTTGCCTGTTCACTCTGATGGTAGTTTCTTTTGCTGTCCAGAAGCTCTTTAGTTTAATGAGATCCCATTTGTCAATTTTGGCTTTTGTTGCCATTGCTTTTGGTGTTTTAGACATGAAGTCCTTG
The DNA here is from genome assembly GCF_000001405.40 of Homo sapiens. Taxonomy (NCBI): domain Eukaryota; kingdom Metazoa; phylum Chordata; class Mammalia; order Primates; family Hominidae; genus Homo; species Homo sapiens. Next base: position 59,380,865 of record NC_000001.11, read on the forward strand.
CCCATGCCTATGTCCTGAATGGTATTGCCTGGCTTTCTTCTAGGGTTTTTATGGTTTTAGTTCTAACATGTAAGTCTTTAATCCATCTTGAATTAATTTTTGTATAGGGTGTAAGGAAGGAATCCAGTTTCAGCTTTCTCCATATGGCTAGCCAGTTTTCCCAGCACCATTTATTAAATAGGGAATCCTTTCCCCATTTCTTGTTTTTCTCAGGTTTGTCAAAGATCAGATGGTTGTAGATATGTGGCATTATTTCTGAGGGCTCTGTTCTTTTCCATTGGTCTATATCTCTGTTTTGGTACCAGTACCATGCTGTTTTGGTTACTGTAGCCTTGTAATATAGTTTGAAGTCAGGTAACGTGATGCCTCCAGCTTTGTTCTTTTGGCTTAGGATTGTCTTGGCAATGTGGGCTCGTTTTCGGTTCCATGTGAACTTTAAAGTAGTTTTTTTCCAATTCTGTGAAGAAAGTCATTGGTAGCTTGATGGGGATGGCATTGAATCTATAAATTACCTTGGGCGGTATGGCCATTTTCACAATATTGATTCAATAAGCTTTTTTCTATTAACTTTTTTTTCACTTTTTAAACTTTTCTGTTAAAAGCTGAGATACAAACATACACATTATCCAAGGCCTACACAGGGTCAGGATCATCAAGATGTCACTAGGTGATAGGAATTTTTCAGCTCCATTAATATCTTATGGGACCACTGTCATATATGCAGTCTGTTATTGACTGGAATGTCATTGTGTGATGTATAACTCGTGTGTGTGTGTGTGTGTGTGTGTGTGTGTGTGTGTGTGTGTATATTTTGGCCTCTAATATTAACTAGGAGATACATTTTTCAAGGAAGCTGATTCAGCTGGATGGATGTGTTATGTACTTGTTTGCTTTTTATGTAAATGTACCTCAGTTATCCCATACTGTAGAAGTATATATGTTGAAGTCAACAACTATTTTTCAGTAAGTTATGAATGTTAAAAATAGAGCATATGCTACACAATAGAGACTTGTATAAAATACTCATTGAGTGTGAAATTGTGGCTACTATAATTAACAGAGTGAGTGTATGTGTGGGGTTACATAGACAGGTTGGACATGAAATCTTTAAGTATGACGAGCCTCTTGTCATGATGACCTCAGATTTAAGGAGATGCCTAAGGTCAAGGCAGGTCTTCTCATCTTGAAAAAGATTTAGAATCTGGGTTGAACAAACCTGTGAAGAAGGGAATCATTTCCCAGAGGATAGATAAACCTCTAGTAATTAGGGAGGCAGGTATTGTATCTTAAAATCAGCTTATTCAGAGAGGGGTCAGATCTTACCCTCTTTCCTTCTTGTTTGAATTCAAGGGAAGCGGGAAATAGCAGTACCATTTCTCCTATCTCATTCTTTTTTGTAGTGAGTTGATAGGGTGTGATAATTCAGCAGCGGGGGCTTCCAGCAGGGAGACAGCAGAGAACATTTCAGAAGCATGTCATTCTTAATGTCAGCAACCCCGAACCTCCTTGCGGTGAAACAATCATTAGCCAAAGGTCCTGGGGCAGAGAGATGCATATGCTTGTGAAAATGGCCTCTGCAAACCTCAGGTACATGCCATCTCTGGCAGGAGGTCCCTGGAGGAGTGTTCTCAACTTTACCCTGGAAGGTGTAATTAGTCACCATTATGGTTATCATCAGTGGGGAGGGCAGTGTGTAGGTGAGGATATCATCTTGGGCATTCCTCTTTTGGTGTGATGTTAATTGTTCAAAGTTATTTCTGAGAGAATCTTTCTCTAGGTTTTTTCATCATTGTACATCCGTGAAAGAAATGTTTTGATCATTTTGGCCAAATGGTCTTGTTTGTTAGTCAAGCAGTGCTAGTTGTCATGTGTATGGGCAATACCCCATTGGCCTGCAAATCCAGAGGACTCAAAGCTGGAACAAGAGATGGAGGAGAACGTGGCTTTCCTTCTCTTTTTCTTTGACATTTTACTCAGCACTTTGACTGCCTCCCTGATTCTTTCTGATGGCTCTGGGTATTCTGTGTCCCATTTCCTGGTTTCCGGTGCCATATTCAGGCACCAAGGAGAGGGCTTTTTGAAGTTAGCTGTGGCTCAGATAAAGTGTGGTGGCATGCATACACACGGTGGACTAACAATATGACTTACCGGCTTTGATTTTGCCACACTAGTTGTGTGACCTTGGGCAAGTCTCTTCCCTTCTTTGATTGTCACTCTTTTTGTCTATAGCATGGAGATTGTTATACCTATTTTGCAAAGTTCTTGTGAGAATCCTATTAAAGCAATTTTTCCAAATTAGTTGGAGTATAGGAATTACCTGAATGATTTGTTCAAAACATGTATCCCCAGGTCTTCTAGTTTTCAGCCTAATGAATCAGAATCTCCATGGGAGATGTGGGAATTTGTATGTTAACAAGTGCCTAGGTAGTATATGATCAGGTAACTTTGGACAACACTGCCTAACAGAATATACATGAAGGTAGGATGTGACACTGAGTGAGAGATTGGAAGTGTTTTAAAGGCCTAATGAATTTTTTGAATTTAAAAGTTGTAAACAAAAAATAAAATTCTAAGGCCCCCCGCCATCTGAATGGACCCCTTCTCTTGGCCAAAGGCATTCCAAATTTAACCTGAAAAACCAGTTCAGGCCATGATGGGAAGGGTGTGGGTAAGACATTCCCCCTTATACAGTCCTCCCTTTTGGAATTCAGGACAAGCCAACCAATACTAACATCAACAAACCTTAAGTCTCATAAGAAATGTTTACAGTCTATTCTCTCTGAAGCCTGCTAAGTGGAGGCTTCATCTGCATATTAAAACCTTGGTCTCCACAACTCCTTATCCTAACCCAGACATTCTTTTCTATTGATAATAACACTTTCAACCAATTGTCAATCAGAAAATTTTTAAATCTACCTACGATCTGGAAGCCCCTGCTTTGAGTTTTCTCACCCATCCGGATCAAATCAGTATTAACCTTACATGTATTGATTGATGTCTCGTGTCTCCCTAAAATGTATAGAAGCAAGCTGTGCCCCGACCACCTTGAGCACTTGCCATCAGGACCTCTTGAGGCTGTGTCACGGGTGCGTCCTTAACCTTGGGAAAATAAACTTTCTAAATTGATTGAGATTTGTCTCAGATACTTTTGGGTTCACAAAGTGGAGGGCGTCTTGTTAACTTATCAGAACATGCTTGGGGGCTTCTAGCCTTGCCTTTGACAATCTCAAACCTTGAGGAAGCAGAAAGTTTAATGCTCAGAAATGATTTATTGGCTGTCTAATCATCCCTGCCATTTTTATTGGCTGTGACACTCATGACTCATTCTATTTTCATTAGTATAAATTAATCATCCCGTTCCCCCACCCACCCCGTACTTGTGAGCACCTTCAGAGACCTCCCTTCCCATTTCCCTCTCTTCCAGAGAGCAAAGCCTGTGGACCTTGGGTACCAGGTTCCTCTTGCAAAGGTGGTTGCCCTTTCCCTTGGCCCACTTACAGCTTGCATCTGTGTTTCTCTCTCTTATTTACTCAATATTTCTGCCTTCTCTATTTCTACTTGCATATCAAGGTGAAACAAGGAACCCCTCTGAGCTTCCTTGATTGTAGATGGAAATAATGACAACACCTGCTCCATGGGGTTATTGTAGAGAAAGCTTCTAACACAATGCTGAGAAAGCTTTTTAAAGGTATTAGCGATTTCATTTAGTTCCCTTTCTCTATCAGTTTTGGCAATGAGTCTTTACATTAAGCATAGAGGAAAGAGGGAAATCCTTGTGGTCAGACTGATCTGGTTTCAGTGTCTCCATCATGTGCAGTCTGTAAGAACCTGGAGCAAATTATTTACCTCCCTGAGCCTTATTTCCTCATCCATAAGCCCTCTCAGGGCTATTAAAACAGTTCTCTGGGTAAAACCTCTGTTTTTACACAATAAAGGGTTCTTTTAATAAAAAAAATCCACATTGTCTGTTCTCTTTTCTAGAGTAAGGAAGATGAGGGTCTGAATTTGAATATGCCAATTCCAAAAAAACTTTGGGTAATAAAACACCAACTTGGCATCCTCTGGGCCAAGGAGAGATTGAAATTTGGTGTTTATTTGGCTCTTACATGTGATTATTTTGGGAGGCTTTGGGGAAAATGATTGCCAAAAAGGCTAGAGGGTCTTTTTTAAAAATACGTTTTAGTAGAGTCAAGACTAACAAGTGATCGAATTTCACCCTGTCTTAAAGCTTTCAAACTTGTTTTTGGCAATGACAGTGTGTAAGAACACCTCCTCCCCTTTCTCTCTTCCTTCTCCATTTTCCTCTCCTCTCTTTCAGGTTTTGTTTTTGTTTTTTTACCCATTCTCCCCTTTTATTGTTCTCATCCTCCGAAATATGGCAGCTACTTTTCTTTATCTGGGTCACTGAGAAAATCACCATTTGGCCCATGATTAGTTTGTAATTCAGCTCCATTCTTTTTCTTATATTAATGAAAATAATTATTGCTATTTTTGTTAATAATAATAATGGTAATTATCACTTATTGAGTGCCTTTCCTTTATCTGTGCTAGGCATATTTAGCAAATGTTAACTCTGTTAGTCCTCATGACCATCCTTACAGCAGGTGGTGTCATTACCGCTTTGCAATTCAAGAACTGAAGCAGAATGCTTTAGTAATTTGCCACATTCTTGCTATTAAGTGGGTTACTGTCTACAATTTTGATGACATGAGAAATGGGAAGTCAAACATTTGAATAGTAGGAATTTTTTAGTAGTCAGAAAAATATATGTATAAATTCTCCCTCTAAAGAGATTTGAGGTGACTAATAATAATAATATAAGAAAAAGTCGTACAAAATAGAAAAAAATCAGAATGGAGTGAAAATAATGATAAGATAACTGAGCTGAAGCTAAGAGCTTTAGAGAACCTTTAGAGAATTCATAATTACTAATAACTTTGTTTCCAAGCTTCCTAGTGGCCAAAGCAAAGACAGAGCTTAATCAAGATTAACTGAGTGAACAGATAAAAACTTTACTGCTGTTCAAGGGAAGTAGAACTTTTTCTAACATTGGGAGTCTGAGAGAAATTAATCCTAGATGATCAAGGGTAGACAATATAAATTATTTAAAAGTATGTGCTATTAAATTTAGTTATAATTTTGAACAAAATTTTAATTTTAAAATAGTTTTAGGATTATAGAAAAATTGTGAAGACGCTACAGAATTCCCATATACTTGATGTCCAGTTTCTCCCATTAATATATTATTATGATACATTTGTCATAATTAATGGACTGATATTGATATATTATCATTAATAAAATTCCATACTTTATTCCGATTTTTTTAGTTTTTACCTAATGGCCTTTTTACCATGTTACATTTAGTCACGCCTTCTCAGGCTCTTCTTGGCTGTGATAGTTTCTGCGTCTTTCTTTCTTTTTGATACCCTTGACAGTTTTGAAGTGTATTGGTCATGTATATTGTTGGATGTCCCTCCATTGAAATTTGTCTGATGTTTTCTCATGGTGAGACTTGGGTAGTTTGTTTTTCGGAGGAAGACCATAGAGATAAAATACCTTTCTCAACCTATCAAGCGAACACACTCTTATCACAACTTAACACTATTGATGTTCAACTTGATCACCTGGCTGAGATATTGTCAGGTTTCTCCACTCTAAATTACTCTTCCACCCCCCACCCCCCACCATATTGTACTTTTTGGAAGGAAGTCACTATGCACAGCCCACACATAAGGAGTGGGGAGTAGTTATGCTTCATTTTCTTGAGACTGTAGTATCTACATATATTACTTTGAATTATTCTTTATGGGAGATTTGTCTTGTCTCAGTTCACCTTTTTTATGGCTTTGAACTAAAATAAATTATTTACAAGGCTTCTTATGTACAAACAAGAGACACTGTAAGTAAGTTTGGTTTACTGGTTAAATGTTAGAATTTCTGAGACATTTCTGTGGCATATGCGAAAACGGTTGAATTTCTATAATTTTAGGTTTATTATTTCTTATATTTCTTTATATTAAATTTACATATTCTACTTACTCATTTTACTTTTCCTCTCCCCTCCATTATAATGTATAATTCTGTATGGGTTATTAGTAAATATTCTACCTTTTCCTTTAAAGAGATGAATTCATGGCTTTTAGAAACTGAAGTCTCTTTAAAATAATTATTACGTTTCTGATGTGTGTGGTTCTCTGTGTTTTGGGTTTATAAGGGATATTATTGTATTGTTATTCATCTTGTGGGTTTTTACCAGTCTGTCAGGAGATGATTATGTTGGGTTATTGATCTGTAGTCATTTTCTAAATACAATTCATAGGATCTCAAATACAAAACCATTATTTAGACTCTTATTCTACTGATTTTTCTTTTGTTAAAAAATTGGAAATATGCTTTGTACAACTTATTTTTTTACTTAATATGTTGTATTTTTCATATTAATGTATAAAAATATTTTTGACATCTGTATAGTATCCTATCCTATGTCAGTATCAATTTTGTCAAGGGTTTGGGCTTGAAATGGGATCTTATTTTAATTTGCATTTTTGATTATTGAATGCAATTAATTTTTCTTATATTTATCAACCACTTATTTATGTATGTCATTGTCAATTACTAATTATGACAATTAGTGTTATATATTTCAATGATGTTTATGTCAATTGCTAATATTTGTATTGGGAGTTCAGTGTTTTCTTCAATTTTGGTGAGAATTTAAAAAAAAATTTTTTTGCAGTATAATTTCCAGAAAAATTTAAACCTACAGAAAACTTGAGAGAATGGCATATTGAACACCCTTATACCTTTTACCTACGTTAATCAGTTGCTAACATTTTATTACTTTTGTGCTCTTTAGTGCACACCTTACCTACCTCTGACACACAGACCTGTAATTATTTTGCTGAACCATTTGTAAATAAATTGCAGACCTCACAGTATTCTCCACCTGATCAGCCAATACTAACAACATTTTCCTTTATAACCACAACATCATTATCACACTTAAGGCAATTAAAATTAATCCTCATACTCCCTTACAGGTATCCCTGCTGTTAAGGATTCAGAGGGCCACTCACTCTTTCTTGCTATTGGAGTTCTGACTGATAGAGACTACATTAAAACATATTAGCTAAATGAGGAGTGAAAAGTTGTCTTATTATCTCAGAAAATACTCTTTAGCCTCTAGTGTATAGAACTTCTAATATACTAGATGGATAATACAGCTCAGAAGTGCAGTTAAACCCCGTCTGCATGTTCAGGTATGTGTACATACATAGGAGTTGGGGCAGGAAGGAAGACCCGATTTGCCAACCCTATCTCAAGTCTAGCAGCTTAGCAATATGAATCCAGACCTGCTTGGGTATGATTACCACATGGCAGTGGGAAGCCATGCTGGTCACACTTGGGCATAGGAGGTGAAAGTGTGAGCTCATTATTATCACCTTTTCTTTAACACAGTGACCCTTAAAATGTGGCTTAATCTATTCCAGTCTCTTAATGATTACATGAATTTCCCTTACCGTCTTGGAGAAAATTGAGTAAGAGGATGGGGTGCAAAGTCAACTCTGTGTCTCTGGTGCTTCTCTGAGTGGAGAGAGGAGGTCGGGTGGAAGTCTCATTCTCCCCAGAGAGCAGAGGCAGCAGCAGGAGAAGAAGGGAGAAACTTGCACCTTAATACGTGCCTGCCTGTGGTGACTACAGTCCACATCCCTTCCTTGGTACTTGGCCTCTTCATCTCCTGTCTCATTAGTATATCTGAGATAAGAGTTGATTTTTTTAGAAAACATCTTTAGATGTATATAGTATACATAATTACATATAATTCACATACTATATGATTCACTAATTTAAAGTATACTATTCAATGATTTTTGCAGATTACATTACTTATTTTTATTAATTTTAATAATACATATAGCATAAAATTTGCCATTTTAATTATTTTTAGGTATATAATTCAGTGTCATGAATTACATTCCTCATGGTGTGCAGTCATTACCACTATCTATTTCTAAAACTTATTTATCACCCCAAACGGAAGCTGCTACTATTAAATAATAACTCCCCATTTCCCTCTTTACCTATCCCCTCTTTTTTTTAGACAGGGTCTTGCTCTGTCGCCCAGGCCGGAGTGCAGTGTCGTAATTTTGGCTCACTGCAACCTCTGCCTCCAGGGTTCAAGCGATTCTCCTGCCTTAGCCTACTGAGTAGCTGGGACTACAGGTGTGTGCCACCACACCTGACTAATTTTTGTATTTTTAGTAGAGACAGGGTTTCACCATATTGGTTAGGCAGGTCTTGAACTCCTGACCTTGTGATCCGCCCACGGCTGAGTGAACAGATAAAAACTTTACTATTTTTATCCCTCCCTCTCCCCTCTTAAACTCTAATCTACTTTATGTCTGCTATGAATTTGCCTATTCCAGATACCCCATTTAAGTAGACTTATATAGTATTTATCCTTTTGCGTCTGGCATATTTCACTTAACATAATGTTTTCAAGGTGTGTCTATGCTGGAGCATGTGTCAGCCTTTCTTTTTTATGACTGAATAATCACATCCTATTGTGTGCATATACTACATTTTGCTTGTCCATTCATCTTGTCCAAATGGACCTGTTGGTGGACATTTGCATCGTTTCTACCTTTTGGCTATTGTCAATGATGCTGTGGCGAACATTGGTATATAAGTATCTTTGGGTCTCTGCTTTTAGTTCTTTTTGGTGTATATCTAAGGAGTGAAATTACTGGTTCCATAGGGTCATTCTAAGTTTAGCTTGGTGAGGAACCACCAGATGTTTCCACTATGGCTGCTCCATTTTACATTCCCACCAGAAATATATGAAAGTTCTAATTCCTCCACATCCTCCCCAGCTCTTATTTCCCTCTCCTTTAAAAAAATTATACCCATTGTAGTAGATATAAAGTAGTCTCTTATTGTGGTTTAAGAATTGATTTTTTAAAATACTAGAAATCTGTGGGATGAAAGTAAAATTGATTGAATTTATATCATCCTAGAAGTAACTTTTTTTGGCAAGGATACCCCAGGGAGTGTCATAAAATTAAAAATTAAAGGTGTCTGAGAGTAAGGGGAGAAGCACAGTTACTTCTGATGTGCTTGATGCTAAAGCTCCTTGATTTGCATTGTTTTATGGTTGTGTTGAAGGATGATTTCTCAGAACAGTGGTATTTAAAGCAGCTCTTCTAAGTTCTAGGAAGGATTCAGTCATCCTCTCTCACCAGCTTATTTTTTAGTATATTTAATAGTGCTGAGAAATAACCAGTAAATATTAGATATTCTTTACCCTTATTTTTGAGAAAGAAGAGTGTTTTCACTCTCTACAGAAGAAATATCCTTATCTCTTCACTAATGATAGTAGAAATAATAGGCATTTCAAAATAACAGTTACTTAAACACATAAGGGCTCATTCTTTCCTGTGAATAAATATAGATATATGGAGTCTTGGGCTACTGTGATTTCCCCATAAAGTCATCAAGGACACTAGCTTTTTTGATGTTTTTTAGTCCTGAGTTCTATTTTCAAGATCACCTCATGGTCCAAGATGGCGGTTGAAGTTTCCATTATCAAGTCCACAGTCCATGTAGCAGGAAGAAGGAAGTGGGTGTGGTGCATACAAAGGATGTGCCTCACATTGGAGTGAGCCTTCTTTAAACAATCTTCTTAGAAGATCTACGTCATACTTGTGCTTGTATATTATTGACCAGCAGCTAGGTTTATAATCAAACTGAGGTGAAGGGGAATCGGGGCAGTGTAGGCTTTTATCTGGGTGTCTTCCTATCCAAATATTGGGGTTTTCTTACTAAATAAAAAGGGAGAATTGATATGGGGTGGGTAAAAAGACACTCAAAATCATAATTTCTCAGCAATTTACATTGACCAGTATCACAGACACCAATTTATAGTCCAATGATAGTCACAAGGTAAAGGGAGAAGGTGGTGATCATGAGGGAGATAGTATATAATCTGAGCAATGTAACTCACAAGTTTCATTATTCATTAATACATTCATTCATTCACTTATTCCTTACATATATATTAGTAAAGCATCTGTGAGGCATTCTCTCCCTAATCCAGTAATTGATAGGTACACATGTATTTGACTATTCAAACCCGTATAAGAGCCAAATAATCCTTAGTTCAAAGTTTTGCTCTGCCACTTTTAAGATAAATCCGAACTCAGTTAAATAGCTTGTGGATGGGGTGAGGAAGAGGGACCATTTAGAAACCTAGTAAACCTGTGGTTCGATGACCTTTTTCTCCACCTCCTCCCTGGCTTGGGATTTGATTTTGGCTACCTGTGGAGAGAGTCATCCACTGAGGGGTCTCAGAGACATTGTGGGGGTGAAGAAATGGGTAGGTGCCCAGGAGATTTCAGGCCAGCCCAACCTGAGTTCAGAGGCTTAAAGTCCAGGGAGGGCGAGAGAGGATGAAGCATGCTGGGTCAGTCGGGCTGGAGGCAGTGGGGGAGTCGGAGGGAGTAGGAGGAAGTAGGAGGTGCTAACATCATGAGAAGCATGAGTTAAGGCACAGGTTCTCAGGGACTGTGCCTTGCACTTGTACTCACTTGTTACATCACTGACTGTCCCTCTCTGCTACATTGAGGCAAAGTCTGAGGAAGGTTGAGGTTGCTTCTTTCTCTTTTCATTAGTAAAGCAAATCTGGATAGAAAAGGGTGAGAAGCCCCATCTTTGTCCTTTGGAGGAAAGGGTAAAACTGTGTGACCTCGACGATTATGATGTGCACTCTTCACTGAGAACCACTAGTCTGAATCTGTTCCATTTCTATAAAGCTTTTTCCCCAGTTCTCTGCTGTGTACGTCTAGATGTGGATTTTATGTGGCTGAAAGATGATCTCTAGCATGACTGTCATTTTCCAACTGAGCAGCAGTATAGCTTTTCCTTTACTGAACAATTTTCTCTGAGACCTTGAATCACTTTTGGAATTTAATTTCATTTGCTTTTTCAATATGATAAAGTAGAACTCTCTCTGAATTTGATTCCTCACTTACAAATAGATATGATACTATATTCTCTGTTGAAAATGTTTTGGAACTGTGAAGATGCTAGAGAGTTAGATCTCGTGTTTCAGGGAACAGAACTGAAACTCAGAAGGGTTTCATTCTGAGGGTGAAGCCAGTGTGTGGAATAAGAGTTAAATTTTAAGGGGTACATTCCTGGATCATGCCTTGTTCAGGAGTCTTTTTCCTGACCCAAGAAGGCCTCCCTCAGGATACAGTGGGCATCTCAGTCTTTGTGAACTCTTAAATTCATTTCTTACCCAGGGTGGCTAACTCTGTCAGTGGACTATTTTGTGAACTTCATACTTTCGGAATATGTTATACTTATGTGATTCTTGGTAGTCTCAAGAACCTTGGTAGAGGTTCAAATCAGTCAATCTGGTTAAAGGTATCAGTATTCAGTCTTGGAATCAAGTGGCACTAGAGCTCTTAAGGCTTGGCGGTTTTCAGGACCTACATCACAAGATACAGAAGTGGTGTGGCTTGGAGCTCGTAAGACTCGTGTCTGGTCCAACCAGGTAACTTGGGGCCCCTGGCACCCATATCAGACTTTTCTCATCTGCAAAATGTGCTGCTTGGAGTGGGTGATTTATTTAGTACTTCCCAGGCCCAAAGTTCTGAGTCTGTAAGATGTAGTGGGGTTGACCAGCATCTCCTTTTGGATTCTCCTTTAAAACTCATTCCTTTGAAAGGAGATTGCTAAAGTCAAACCTTAGAATCCAACCCTTTGGGCTATGATTTAATGTTAAAATGCTGTACCCTTTCCTTTCCTCCTTTTTCTCCTTTACTACTTCTATTTTGTTTCTTTTTCGAAAAAATATACCTTCTTTTAAAATTTTTCTTCATTTTTCCTTCTTCTCTGTAAATTATCAAGGGCCTTTGAAGAGAATTCTTACATGTTATTAAGAAATTGCAGTCAGGGAGCCCTCTGTTCCCAGATCATTTAGAAGATTGCTTTTCCTTTTGTTAAATACAAAAAATTGTCAACCTGTATTGTTAAAATGTGCCAAAAACTGCATTCACCAATAAAAAATGTCAGCTCTCATTATTGCCCAGATATTATTCTTTTCAAAAGCGGAGCACTCTTGCCAGGCTTTCTAAACAATCTTCAGCTCATTCATCTTCCTGGTTTTGTTACATTTTGAACCTCTCTGGGTCTATATAAGGTGGCAGCCTGTCTTTTAAAAATTAATGGATTCCAAATGCCATTCAAACCTATTTCCGCCCTTAACCTCCTCCTCTTCTCCCCAACCCTGCCTGTTAGGAGTCTTATGTTCTGTATAAATATTGAGCTGGAGATAGTTTCTAAAGAGGTGTTTGGACCTTTAATTAACATTGACAGCCTGTCTGCTTAGGATTTTGCTCTGCTGTCTCCATGGAAAAGTCAGGTAGGTCAGTATGTGGGGGAGGGACCTCTGCAGTGGATGTGTTCCTGGCGGCTGGCCCTAGAGACACTGCACTCTGAGCCAACCGTGAAGTCATTTTGAATTTAAGGAGTCTTGCTAATCCAAGGCAATGTGTCTTAATTTGACAAAGTAAAGGCTGCCCGATAAGCAAGCCTCACTACAAGTTCTGTGAAACAGGGGGTGTTTGTAAGTTTAGATTGTGCTAGAGAAATGTGGTGATGTGGAAGAACGGGCTCATTTTCTCCTGTTTACTCCCTTTCCCACCCCATCCCCCTCCTCTCTCCCTTCTCTCTTACTTACTTTGGCCCAAATCAGCCCTGCAGTCTGGCCTCTGCAGTGGCTTGATGTGAAATTTGAGAAACATATGTAGTTTTCTATTTCAGGAAAATGATCTCAGGGATTGAATGTGTTTTTTTGTTGGCTGTTAAGCTCTGATCTTGCCCAGTGTGGTTTTTTGATGATGGGAAAGAGGCTTCGAAGTGCTTTTTATCAGAATTTCATGTAATAAAACTTAAGGTTTGGTTTCTTTATTTTGGCCCCCAACCCCCTCCCAGGCTCAGGACACAATGTCGTCTATTCTGTCAGAAGTGGGAAGAAGTACACATTGTTCATATTACAATCACTTCTTTGCTGCTTGCACACACATATATAAGAATGGCCACTGTGTCTATCCTTCACAAAAGCTATTTTAAATGTAGTTCAGTGGAGGACCAAAGGTCTGCGTAGTGTCTCTTACAAAGGAAAAGGGATCTGTTGGGGGAAAAGTCTGCCTTTGTTTTGCCTTGGAAGGGCCAGTATTTTTCTTTGTTCTAGAGGTGAGTGCCAATAATGGGCCTAGTGCCCTATCAAGCAAACTTCATTAATCCAGCCCTGCAAAGGGTACACTGATCAGATAAAAGGGACCTACATCCTCAAAGCTCAAGGTATTTGTTTTTAAACTTTTTTCTTACTGTAAATAAATATCACTATTGTACTTAATCTCATATTCATAATTGTATTCCTTTTCTTAAAGAGCCTTTACATAAAAGCTTCAGGCCCTACAAAATCCGAGAGCATCCTTCATGGAGGAAGGATAGTAGACTCGAGGGTGAGTGGTTGAACTTTGGCTCTGGTGTAAAATGCCCACCCTGGGACTTATTGTGTGACCTTGAGCACGTTACATACCATTTCTGCACTTCATTGTCTTATTTATATTTCATGGGCTTGTTGCGGGATTGAACAGGTTCAAGTGTATAAAGCTCATAGTACAACCTGCTAAGGACTCAACATTAGCTATTCCTGCTGCTGTTTTTATTATTTGTTGCTGGCGTATAAGACCTAGGCAAATGGAGCTAAATACTATTGTCTACCATTAAAATATTCACCTTCTGGAGGGAATAGTGCAAGGGTAACTTCAGATTTGCATTGAAAAACCCATGGACTATCACTTTACATATTTATTTCCTTACCATCTTCAACCCTTATCCAGACAGCTCCAAATGCACATTATTCAGAAAATTGGTGATATTTTCACAGCACTGAGACTAAGCTCATCTCCTGCTGGTCCTTATCACTCACCAGCCTTTCAGCCACATCAGACATCTCCTCAATCTCTGGGCAAACCAGGCCTTTTCATGTCTTCTTGACTTTGCACGTACTGTTTCCTCCCCGCAGAGTATCATTTGCCCTTTTTTCTGCTTGTCAACTGCTATTCACCCTTCGAGACCCAACTTAAATATTATTTGTGAATTTTGGGCAGTTACACAGACTCTTTTGGGCAGTTACACACTACTGTTTCATTTTTCCTATAGTTCTTCAAGAACTTCTCTCATTGTAGTGTAATTATTTCTTGACATACATTTTTCTTCTAACAGCCTAGGAGGTCTTTGGATGAAGATACTACAGTCTATTCACTTTTATAACCCCGGTACAGAGTGCATGACACGTGTTAGGTGTTGAGAAATCTGAGAAATCGACTGGGAAGAGTTTTTTTTCATACCATTATATTTTAAAAGCTGCAATAGTTTGTTCCAGAAAAGTTATATTTTTCCCTTGGTGTATATTCTAATTTAAAAGGTGTTTTTAATGCCTGATTGATCTCCAATCTGTAATGACTTTGTAGCATTTTCTTTGTTTCCCTGCATTCAGCCTTCTGATTTAAGCAGATAATGCTTGGAAACACCTGTTTAAGTTGTATCTTCTTTGCTAGTTGTAACTTCATGAGTACAGGGACCATATATGTTCTGTTCACAGCTCTATCCCCAAGTCCTAATACAGTGGTTGGCAGTTCTAGAGGTAGAAGAAATTATAATAATAATAGTGCTTGTATTTTATGCTTAACAGAGCACTTAACATGCTGGCCACTATTGTGAGTATTTTAGATACATTAACCCCTTCAGTCCTCCCAATATTCTTATGTTATATGTATTATAATTATCATCTGTTTTCTACAGATAAAGAAACAGACTCAAAAGAGGCTAAGGAACTTGCCGGTGGTCACACAATGATTGGCAGAGTTGGGATTTTAACCTGGGCAGTCTGGCTCCAGAATTCAGGCTGTTTGCCATAATGGTTCCTTGCCTCTGATTAGTACTAATTAGCTTAGTACTTGTTTGTTAACTAATTATTAAAGGAATCCAACAGAGACCTATTTCTCTAATGTAAAGAGTTCATTCATTAGGCAAATAATCACCCTAAGCCAGTTGTTCTGGAAGTATGGCCTTCAGACCAGCAGCATGAGCAGCGTCACTTGGAAATACATTGGAAATGCAAATTCTGTGGCCTCACTCCCACCCTACTCAATCAGAAACTCTTGGGAGTGGGACCAAATAATTTGTGTTTTAAAAAAATCCTCCAGAAGAATCTGATGGATGCTAAAGTTTGAGAACCACTGGCCAAGACTCAGCCATTTTCTCTGGAATTTTACCCCTGATTTTTGCTTTTCTTAAGAAGTCATAATTTTGGGTGTCTCACTTTTGCATACTCCTGATTTTTGTGACATTAATGTGGGGACTAAGCTCTAACCTCAGTGAATGTTTTTGCTAAAGTTTCTGAGAAATTTTGAAGGTTTCAGGTGTGTCTGTAGCTTGACAGTGTTTGTTTCTTTTGATTTTTTTTTCCTGTGATAGCTTTTAGGATCAGGAAATTTAAAAAATATAGTACCTCCTCCATTCAGCCCTGCTGTCTCAGACTCCCCTAACTGGTGAGTGAAGAAGGAGCCCAGAGGTGCAGGGATAACAGAGAAAGGGGAAGTAGCAGAATCAGTGAGTGGGGAATCAAAGTTTGATGTTATCGCACTTCCTAGAAGTGGCCTCAGGTCCTTTGGACTGTTGGTTTACAAATGGTAGAAAAAAGGGACACTGGACTTCAAACTGGACTTGGAATCCCAGTTCAGTCTCTCTATCTATGTGATTCTAGGAAAGTAATTTTTCTGAGCAACAGTTCCCTCATCTTTAAAATGGGGATAATATTACTAATGTTTTAATGATGTGAGAATTTATGGAGATGCATGATGAGCACTCAATTCATGCTTGTTGTATCTATACTGAAGGAAGCTGTAAGAGATAGAGTTAGTCACTAGCATATTTACCAGTGAGTGTTCTAAGAAATGGATTATAGATTTTGCAGAGCAACAAGGAATCCACAGCATTCCACAATGGCTGGTATTCCAAGGATCGAAATTCTGGGAGGTTCAGTTGCAGAGAAAACTAGGCACCAGTTTGAATGCATTATGTCTTGAGTCTGCTTTTTTTTTTTTTTTAAAAGAAAGGTATCTAAAAGTGATTTAACAATGTCAGGATTTAGACTTAAGTTTTTTTCTGTTAAAGAGGCCATTGCTGAAAGTCAAGACCCAAGGACTGTACAAATATTGATGCAACTGTCAGAGATACATGGTATTTGACCTTCTATTAATAAAGACAAATTATTGCATTTCTGTGATATTTGAGTCTGCAGGAACTTCCCTTAATTCCACTGGTATTCCATTCCACGGCTACCAGGGCTGCTGGGACAAGGGACGTGGCGTTGTGTTTCTGATTTACGAGGTGGAATATTAGTCTGATTTACTAAACTGAAAGAGCAGGTTCAGATAACAAACAACATAGTGAAACTTCCTGAATAACAGCCACAGAAACAACTCATGTATTTGGTGGTATCACAACAAGTTTGGCTAGATTTATCCACAGACTAGAATACAAACCATGGAGGAAAGAAAGCAGGTAAGCACAAGTAAATAGAGGGCAAGGCAGATACTAGTGGACTATACTGGATGTAGGAAGACTTTGAGGAAGGCTTTTTTTTGCAGACATCTGCAGGGTGTAGGCAGTGAAGTGTTTGTTGTGACTATTTGCCAGCACCATCCCACTTCACAGGTGGGTGGGTGGTTCCTTTTCACCAAGATTTTAATGGCAGGTTGTGCCCCATAAAAGGGCGGGGCAGTATACCCTGTATTAGTTTAAAAAAGGTCTCAGCTTACACGGGACAGCATTTTTACTTTTTACCCTTGCCTTTGCTCATTCACAGGGAGTACTTCGGAATCAGCCCATCTAAGCCTCAGACTTCAAAGGGAGCTCATTCCTATTTGACAACAGTCATATCCATTTTGCCAACTCTTTGACCTTTGAAATAGCATCTACTCAGTCAGGTCTGACCTGTCAACTGTCTGTAAAAACCCATCCAGATCAAGAACTTGATATTTTCAAGAACACATCTAAAGGATGGGGGCCCTTCTAATTTTGTTTCTCCAGGACTTGTTTTGGGAGAAGCCAGCTGCTTCTTCTGGTCTTAATGGGATGGGATTATAGATGGGTTGAGTCTGTGAGGCCTCAACTTACATGATGATCCTGTGTCCTTTTATTATAGGTTGCACATGTTTTAGCCACTCATGGCAGCATTTTTCTCCAGCTACAGTCAATTTTGTCTAATTATTGTTGATCATGATTTTACTGTAAAAAAAAATTTTTTTTTTTGAGACATGGTTTCACTCAGTCAGTCTGGATTGTGCAGTGGCACAGTCTCAGTGCACTGCAACCTCTGCTTCCCAGGCTCAATCGATTTTCCTGCCTCAGTCTCCTGAGTAGCTGGGACTACAGGTGCACGCCACCACGCCTGGCTAATTTTTGTATTTTTAGTAGAGATGGTGTTTCACCATATTGGCCAGGCTGGTCTTGAACTCCTAACCTCAAATGATCCACCTGCCTCAGCCTTCCAAAGTTCTGGTATTACAGGCATGAGCCACCATGCCCAGGTTGTAAAAGTATTTTTAAAAAGTGTTTTCAGAGGCCATTTGCCATGGGAAAATGGGATATGTTGACCTTCCTGTTTACCTCCATTTGTGGGCTTTTGGTTGTGAGCATCAGTTCATATCCAGTTTTGGGGACCACTCTTGGGTATACTTTAAATAATTCAGATGTTGAAATTTTTCAGAATGAGAAAATCTAGAGAGAAGTCCAGTTTGATTATACTAGAACCTCATTTGCTGATTAAATTGTAAAATTCCTAATTGCAACTTGGTCATGTCTTTGCAAAATAGTAATAATAATATTAACTTCTATTTATATAGTGACTGTCTTCTCAAAGAACTCAAAACAGTGTCCTTTTCTGTATCCCTGCTATTCCCAAAACATGTTTGTGGCAATGTATGTGGCTTCAAAATGTGGATGTATCATTATGAAATATAAATGCATGTGGTGATGGTATTTATTAGAATCATATGTTATTGGAAGTACCTAACATTGGGTGTAAAGGAAGCCTGGTCAAGTTTCCAATAGAGATTTACAATTGGGCCTCTTTGTATCTCAGTTTCTTCATCTGTATAGTGGGCATAATAGTTCCTATTTTATAGAGTTATTGTGATGATTGTGTTAATACATTTAAAGCATTGACACAGTAATGCTGGGATAGTCCTCAAATGCTATTGTTTGCATCGGTTTTAGAATCAGTCTAATAAATATGAGTTTAAATACCCCTTTGTCCCTTGCTTGTTGTGTCGTCTTGGGCAATAACAGTAACAGTCAACACAGATGCTATTTATTGAATAATACTTATATGTCAGGCATTATATTAGGCCCAGGATATAAGTGATTATTTATCACTTATTCCTTTAACTTTCTTAAATAGGTATGATTATACTCATTTTATAGATGAGTTAGGTAAGGTTTAGAGAAGTTAAGAAACTTTCCCATAGTAACAGAGTTAGATTACTGGCAAAGCGGACTCTCTGAATTCTTGTTTTTGGTTACCTACTTAGGTTCCCCTGAACCACAGTTTCATCATTTGTAATAGGGATGACAATAGCTCTTTGTAAGGATTAAATATTGTACATAAAGTATCTAGCACTTACTGTGCATTCTTGACATGATATACAATGATATTATCCTCTCCAATTAGAGCTTTCCATATAATATAATTTTTTTCTTTGTGTTCCTTATGCCATGCATATATCTTTAGAGATTAAAAGACACTTCTTAAGAATGGATTCTTGCATTTCTGAGAACTTCAGAATCACACTTGTGATCTGACACAGTATATATACACTCAGGTATTGATGTGTGTATGTGTACTTTCCATTCTGTTCAGTCTAGAAGTGTATAGATGCTCAATCTGGGTGCTTTGTAAGGAACATCACAAATGTTCAAAATCGTGGATGGACTTGAACATGAAAATGCCTTGGCCTCAAAGTTTTGCTTTTCTGTTCTCAAAGTTGTTGAGGAAACTGGCTTAGTTAAAGCTAAGTGTTTAGAAACCAAGTGTGTTTTGGATGGTAAGGTGGAGTCAGCATTATATATATTAATACATTTTTGGTACCAGAAACAGCAACAATCCCTTAGTCTGGTGTGTGCAGATGTAATATGTTTCATGATATTTCAGCCTGTATTTTCTGTCTTAATAAGTGAAAGCACTGCAGAATTGGGCTGCAGGCCACTGCCCCATTTCTCTCCTTTTGTAGTCAGATCTCCCTTGTGAATGATAAACACCCACTCCTTTCATTTATTCACCCATTCACTCAACCTCCTACAATCTAAGCTGCATGCTTACCACCTACCTTAAAGAACACCAGTGATTGCTTATTGTGACTTACGTCATAAATATGTATTCTAGACATGACTTCTCACCTGAATATCAGTGTCACATCCTTCATAGCCTCAAAACTTTGAGGAAATATCCTCTTATGGCATACTTTAAAATTTGTAATTTTAAAGTAAGCACAAAGTACGTTTTGAGACCTTCATTTTTTTCTCTAACAATTCTGTTTTGTTTTTTTTTTTTGTATTCTGTATTTTTTGTTAAGTTTATATCAGGATGATTTGTCATTAGTGTTCTTGTAACATATTTTGGAGTTTTCCTTGTGCAATGTGGAAATAGTAAGGTTGACATTCTGCTTTTAACTCTTCTTTATAAACTATGAGGAATTCCCAAATAGAATGTTACCTTGAAAGACTCTTGACATAAGTAGAACTAAACCAAATATTTTATATAATTATTTTTATTTTTTATTTTTGAGATAGGGTCTTGCTCTGTCACCCAGGCTCAAGTGCAGTGGCGTGATCATGGCTCACTGCAGCCTTGACCTCCCAGGCTCGAGCAATCTGCCCTCCTCAGCCTCTCAGAGTGCTTGGGATTAAAGGCATGAGCCACCATGCTTGGCCTCTGTAATTCTTAATTATTATTTTATATATGTTATGAGTATGAGAACTAAGCAGTTCCATAAAGATGAGAATTATAATATCTCATTTTAGTAGTATTTTGCTTTGTATTATTTGACATTTTATAAAAATTCATAGTCTCAAAAAATATACAATGTTCTTCGTCAAGTAGCTAATACTCTCTTTCTTAGTGTTCGGTTTAACTATTAATCTTATCCTGTTAAATTATTTAAAATTTCCTAATAATTGGCACATAATAACAGTTTTTAATGTCAGCATTGATAACATTTTTCTGTCATAATATTCAACTAAGGGATGCATCTTCAATGTATAAAGCCCATAAGTAGGTTTTTTCACCCTAGATTAGATCTAAATTGCTTACCTGTTTTTGGAAGTGAATATTATGTTATTAACAATAAATTCCAAACTGCTTTGTATTACTGACATTGTAACAATGTCTTGATATGATGGAGACCCTTGCTATCACATTGTCATTGATCATGCACATTGATCATGCCCGTGTTGAAATAGGCAATGCCAGAGACAGACCAAAGACGAAACTGGTAGTGATTTTGGTGAACATTGTTGCCATGTTAAACTTGAGTATATTTCTTGTTGAACAACCCCATTTTAGAGATACGGAAAATGTTGTGAGGCAGAGATATTAAGTAACCCTGCCCAGAGTCGAATGGTTAATAAGTCCTTGCCAGGATTTAAGTGATAAAACAAAACTCATGCTTTTAACTACTATAGTCTTGTAAGCCACTCAACAAGTATTGGCCAGTTAAACTAATGAATTCCCTCAAGGAATTGATTCTAGTAATAGAGATAAATAATCAAGTCATAAGTCATGACTCAATGTGAAAAGTCTTGTGACTAAGGAATGAACAGTACAATAAAGGAAACATGAGGAACAGTGAATCGTGGTAGGATTATGGAGAGGAGGAGGAAGGAATGGGGGAGAGTGGGGCCTCAGAGAGGTGCACCAAGACTGGGGCCCAGGCCTTGCTTCCAAGGTACCATGGCGTTCTGTGTTTTTCCTTGTCTTGGGCATACTATTCAGTGTTTCGATTTATTTACTTGTCCTTACCTCCCACTAGGCTATAAGCTTTCTGACTGCAGAGGTAAATTGTGTGTCTTCATCACTTAGTGCAGGAAGTGGTAGCTAATGAGTTGGATATGTAGGGGCGAGTACAGTGGACAGGTGAAGTCAGGACATGATGGACAAAAGCATGAACATGAAAGAAGATGTGAACATTCGTTGCCTCTTTAGGAAATGGTCGACAGTGTGGAGTGGACAGAGCACGGACATGTAGCTTGGGGTATTGTGAAGGGATGGGTCAGCCGTGTATACTTATCTACCATGGTAAAAAGTGATATTATTA